>NC_000004.12:83163805-83315320 GCF_000001405.40 Homo sapiens
GAGACGGGGTTTCACCATGTTAGCCAGGATGGTCTTGATCTCCTGACCCCGTGATCCACCTGCCTTGGCCTTCCAAAGTGCTGGGATTATAGGTGTGAGCCACCACGCCTGGCCTTTTTTTTTCTATTTAAATAAACCTTTAATTGAAGTGTAATATACATACAGTAAAGTGCAGAAATCAAATGACCGATTAATTTTCACAAAGTGAACAATTCTTGTAACCACAACATGATTCAAGAACTAGAACACTGGTGAAGTCCAAGATGGCCGAATCGGAACAGCTCCAGTCTACAGCTCTCAGCGTGAGCGACGGAGAAGACAGGTGAGTTCTGCATTTCCAACTGAGGTACCTGGTTCATCTCACTGGGGCTTGTCAGACAGTGGGTGCAGGACATTGGGTGCAGCCCACAGACCATGAGCCAAAGCAGGGTGAGGCATCACCTCACCCGGGAAGTGCAAGGGGTTGAGGAATTCCCTTTTCTAGCCAAGGGAAGCTGTGACAGACGGCAGCTGGAAAATTGGGTCACTCCCTCCCTAATACTGTGCTTTTCCAACGGTCTTAGCAAACAGCACACCAGGAGATTATATCCTATGCCTGGCTCAGAGGGTCCCATGCCCATGGAGCCTTGCTCACTACTAGCACAGCAGTCTGAGATTGAACTGCAAGTCGGCAGCGAGGCTGGGGGAGGGGCACCCACCACTGCTGAGACTTGAGTAGGTAAACAAAGCGGCTGGGAAGCTCAAACTGGGTGGAGCCCACCGCAGCTCAAGGAGGCCTGCCTGCCTCTGTAGACTCCACCGCTGGGGGCAGGGCATAGCCAAACAAAAGTCAGCAGAAACTTCTGCAGACTTAAGGGTCCCTGTCTGACAGCTTTGAAGAGAGTAGTGGTTCTCCCAGAACGGAGTTTGAGATCTGAGAACGGAAAGATTGCCTCCTCAAGTGGGTCCCTGACCCCCAAGTAACCTAACTGGGAGGCACCTCCCAGTAGGGGCCAACTGACACCTCATATGGCCAGGTGCCCCTCTGAGATGAAGCTTCCAGACGAACAATCAGGCAGCAACATTTGCCATTCTGCAATATTTGCGGTTCTGCAGCATCTGCTGGTGATACCCAGGCAAACAGGGTCTGGAGTGGACCTCCAGCAAACTCCAAAAGACCTGCAGCTGAGGGTCCTGACTGTTAGAAGGAAAACTAACAAACAGAAAGGACATCCACATCAAAACCCCATCTGTACATCACCATCATCAAAGACCAAAGGTAGATAAAACCACAAAGATGGGGAGAAAACAGAGCAGAAAAGCTGAAAATTCTACAAATCAGAGCACCTCTTCTCCTCCTAAAGAACGCAGCTCCTTGCCAGCAATGGAACAAAGCTGGATGGAGAATGACTTTGAAAATTTGAGAGAAGAAGGCTTCAGAAGATCGGTAATAACAAACTTCTCTGAGCTAAAGGAAGATGTTCGAATCCATTGCAAAGAAGCTAAAAACCTTGAGAAAACATTGGATGAATGGCTAACTAGAAAAAATAGCATAGAGAAAACCTTAAATGACCAGATGGAGGTGAAAACCATGGCACGAGAACTACGTGACGCATGCACAAGGTTAAGTAGCCGTTTTGATCAACTTGAAGAAAGGGTATCAGTGATTGAAGATCAAATGAATGAAATGAAGCAAGAAGAGAAGTTTAGAGAGAAAAGAGTAAAAAGAAATGAACAAAGCCTCCAAGAAATATGGGACTATGTGAAAAGACCAAATCTACATCTGATTGGTGTACTTGAAAGTGACAGGGAGAATGGGACCAAGTTGGAAAACACTCTTCAGGATATTATCCAGGAGAACTTCCCCAACCTAGCAAGGCAGGCCAACATTCAAATTCAGGAAATACAGAGAATGCCACAAAGATACTCCTCGAGAAGAGCAACTCCAAGACACATAATTGTCAGCTTCACTGAAGTTGAAATGAAGGAAAAAATGTTAAGGGCAGCCAGAGAGAAAGGTTGGGTTACCCACAAAGGGAAACCCATCAGACTAACAGTGGATCTCTTGGCAAAAACTCTACAAGCCAGAAGACAGTGGAGGCCAATATTCAACATTCTTAAAGAAAAGAATTATCAACCCAGAATTTCATATCCAGCCAAACTAGGCTTCGTAAGTGAAGGAGAAATAAAATCCTTTACAGAAAAGCAAACGCTGAGAGATTTTGTCACCACCAGGCCTGCCTTACAAGAGCTCCTGAAGGAAGCACTAAACATGGAAAGGAACAACCGGTACTAGCCATTGCAAAAACACGCCAAATTGTAAAGACCATTGATGCTAGGAAGAAACAGCATCAGCTAATGGGCAAAATAACCAGCTAACATCATAATGACATGATCAAATTCACACATGACAATATTAACCTTAAATGTAAATGGGCTAAATGCCCCAATTAAAAGACACAGACTGGCAAATTGGATAAAGAGTCAAGACGCATCAGTGTGCTGTATTCAGGAGACCCATCTGACGTGCAGAGACACACATAGTCTCAAAATAAAGGGATGGAGGAAGATCTACCAAGCAAATGGAAAACAAACAAAAAGCAGTGGTTGCAATCCTAGTCTCTGATGAAACAGACTTTAAACCAACAAAGATCCGAAGAGATAAAGAAGGCCATTACATAATGGTAAAGGGATCAATTCAACAAGAAGAGCTAACTATCCTAAAAATCTATGCACCCAATACAGGAGCACCCAGATTCATAAAGTGAGCCCTTAGAGACCTATGAAGAGACTTAGACTTCCACACAATAATAATGGGAGACTTTAACACCCCACTGTCAACATTAGACAGATCAACGAGACAGAAAGTTAACAAGGATATCCAGGAATTGAACTCAGCTCTGCACCAAGCAGACCTAATAGACATCTACAGAACTCCTCACCCCAAATCAACAGAATATACATTCTTCTCAGCACCACATCACACTTATTCCAAAATTGACCACATAGTTGGAAGTAAAGCACTCTTCAGCAAATGTAAAAGAACAGAAATTATAACAAACTGTCTCTCAGACCACAGTGTAATCAAATTAGAACTCAGGATTAAGAAACTCACTCAAAACTGCTCAACTACATGGAAACTGAACAACCTGCTCCTGAATGACTACATAACAAAATTAAGGCAGAAAAAAAGATGTTCTTTGAAACCAATGAGAAAAAAGACACAACGTACCAGAATCTCTGGGACACATTTAAAGCAGTGTGTGGAGGGAAATTTATAGTACTGAATGCCCATAAGAGAAAGCAGGAAAGATCTAAAATTGACACCCTAACATCACAATTAAAAGAACTAGAGAAGCAAGAGCAAACACATTCAAAAGCTACCAGAGGGCAGGAAATAACTAAGATCAGAGCAGAACTGAAGGAGATAGAGACATAAAAAACCCTTCAAAAAAAGCAATGAATCCAGGAGCTGGTTTTTTGAAAAGATCAACAAAATTGATAGACCCCTAGCAAGACTAATGAAGAATAAAAGAGAGAAGAATCAAATAGATGCAATAAAAAATGATAAAGGGGATATCACCACCAATCCCACAGAAATACAAACTACCATTGGAGAATACTTATATAAACACCTCTACACAAATAAACTAGAAGATCTAGAAGAAATGGATAAATTCCTGGACACATACACCCTCCCAAGACTAAACCAGGAAGAAGTTGAATCCCTGAGTAGACCAAAAACAGGCTCTGAAATTGAGGCAATAATTAATAGTCTACCAACCAAAAGAAGTCCAGGACCAGATGGATTCACAGCCGAATTCTACCAGAGGTACAAAGAGGAGGTGGTACCATTCCTTCTGAAACCATTCCAATCAATAGAAAAAGAGGGAATCCTCCCTAACTCATTTTATGAGGCCAGCATCATCCTGATACCAAAGCCTGGCAGGGACACAACAAAAAAAGAGGATTTTAGACCAATATCCCTGATGAACATTGATGCGAAAATCCTCAATAAAATACTGGCAAACCGAATCCAGCAGCACATCAAAAAACTTATCCACCATGTTCAAGTGGGCTTCATCCCTGGGATGCAAGGCTGGTTCAACATACGCAAATCAATAAATGTAATCCATCATATAAATGGAACCAAAGACAAAAACCACTTGATTATCTCAATAGATGCAGAAAAGGCCTTTGACAAAATTCAACAGCCCTTCATGATAAATACTCTCAATAAATTAGGTATTGATGGGACATATCTCAAAATAATAAGAGCTATCTATGACAAACCCACAGCCAATATCATACTGAATGGGCAAAACTGGAAGCATTCCCTTTGAAAACTGGCACAAGACAGGGATGCCCTCTCTCACCACTCCTATTCAACATAATGTTGGAAGTTCTGGCCAGGGCAATCAGGCAGGAGAAAGAAATAAAGGGTATTCAATTAGGAAAAGAGGAAGTCAAATTGTCCCTGTTTGCAGATGACATGATTGTATATCTAGAAAACCCCATCATCTCAGCCAAAAATCTCCTTAAGCTGATAAGCAACTTCAGCAAAGTCTCAGGATACAAAATCTATGTGCAAAAATCACAAGCATTCCTATACACCAATAACGGACAGAGAGCCAAATCATGAGTGAACTCCCATTCACAATTGCTTCAAAGAGAATAAAATACCTAGGAATCCAACTTACAAGGGATGTGAAGGACCTCTTTAAGGAGAATTACAAACTACTGCTCAACGAAATAAAAGAGGACACAAACTAATGGAAGAACGTTCCATGCTCATGGATAGGAAGAATCAATATTGTGAAAATGGCCACACTGCCCAAGGTAATTTATAGATTCAATGCCATCCCCATCAAGCTACCAATGACTTTCTTCACAGAATTGGAAAAAACTACTTTAAAGTTGATATGGAACCAAAAAAGAGCCCTCATTGCCAAGATGATCCTAAGCAAAAAGAACAAAGCTGGAGGCATCACAGTACCTGACTTCAAACTATACTACAAGGCTACAGTAACCAAAACAGCACGGTACTGGTACCAAAACAGAGATATAGACCAATGGAACAGAACAGAGCCCTCAGAAATAATACCACACATTTACAACCATCTGATCTTTGACAAACCTGACAAAAAGAGGAAAAGGGGAAAGGATTCCCTATTTAATAAATGGTGCTGGGAAAACTGGCTAGCCATATGTAGAAAGCTGAAACTGGATCCCTTCTTTGCACCTTATACAAAAATTAATTCAAGATGGATTAAAGACTTAAAGTCAGACCTAAAGGCATAAAAACTCTAGAAGAAAACCTAGGCAATACCATTCAGGACATAGTCATGGGCAAGGACTTCATGTCTAAGACACCAAAAGCAATGGCAACAAGAGTCAAAATTGACAAATGGGATCTAATTAAACTAAAGACCTTCTGCACAGCAAAAGAAACTACCATCAGGGTGAACAGGCAACCTACAGAATTGGAGAAAATTTTTACAATCTACCCATCTGACAAAGGGCTAATATCCAGAATCTACAAAGAACTTAAACAAATTTACAAGAAAAAATCAAACAACCCCATCAAAAAGTGAGTGAAGGATATAAACAGACACTTCTCAAAAGAAGACATTTATGCAGCCAACAGACACATGAAAAAATGCTCACCATCACTGGCCATCAGAGAAATGCAAATCAAAACCACGATGAGATACCATCTCACACCAGTTAGAATGGCGATCATTAAAAAGTCAGGAAACAACAGGTGCTGGAGAGGATGTGGAGAAATAGGAACACTTTTACACTGTCGGTGGGACTGTAAACTAGTTCAACCATTGTGGAAGACAGTGTGGCTATTCCTCAAGGATCTAGAACTAGAAATACCATTTGACCCAGCCATTCCATTACTGGATATATACCAAAAGGATTATAAATCATGCTGCTATAAAGACACATGCACATGTATGTTTATTGCGGCACTATTCACAATAGCAAAGACTTGGAACCAACCCAAATGTCCATCAATGATAGACTGGATTAAGAAAATGTGGCACATATACACCATGGAATTCTATGCATCCATAAAAAAGGATGAGTTCATGTCCTTTGTAGGGACATGGATGAAGCTGGAAACCATCATTCTCAGCAAACTATTGCAAGGGCGGAAAACCAAACACTGCATGTTCTCACTTATAGGTGGGAATTGAACAATGAGAACACTTGGACACAGGATGGGGAACACCACACACTGGGGCCTGTTGTGGGGTGGGGGGAGGGGGGAATGATAGCGTTAGGAGATATACCTAATGTTAAATGACGAGTTAATGGGTGCAACACACCAACATGGCACATGTATACGTATGTAACAAACCTGCATGTTGTGCACATGTACACTAGAACTTAAAGTATAAAAAAAAAGAGAAAAAAGAACTAGAACATTGCCAGCACCCTAGAAGTTGTCTCTCCCCTACCTCCATCATAACCCCTTCACCGTCTTCAAAACTCTCCACCCAGACTTTACTTCTACTGTGTCTTCTAACACAGGAGGCTGGTTTTGCCTGTGTTTGAACCTTATGTACAGATATATTAAGTACTAGATTAATTATAGATTATGTTTTCTTTTGTGTCTGACTTCTTTTGCTCAAAATTATGGTTGTGAGAGTCAGCCACATTGAGTGCACAATAACTCATTCATTCTTATTGCTGTATAATATTTTATTATATAAATATACCACTACTTATTTATCCATGCTATTTTTGCATCATTTCCAGTTTGGACTGTTATGAATAGCATAGTGCTGCTATGAGTTTTCCTGCACTATCTTTAGGTGGGTATATATATATATATGTATTTCTGTTATGTTTCAACCCAGGAGTGATATTTTGGGGTTAATATTCCGGAGCAGTGGTACTGTTACCTGCAAGAAGTCCAGGTGTGCTATGCAGTCCTCAATTTTTATCTTCTTGGGAGAAAGAACTTGGCCAAGAGACAGAAGTAGATTTAAGTCAGAAATGAGAGTTTACTGAAACAAGAGTACACTTGGAAGAAACCAAGTAGGCAACTCAAAAGATTGAGTTCCTCACCTGATCACTGGCTCAGGAGTCTTATAGATTTACTATTTCCTGTCTTTCCGCCCCCACATCTCTTCTTCTTGTCCCTGGCTCTGGGTGAGCTGTTGGCTACTCACTGCATGTGCAGTGTCTTGCCAGTATCTGGGAGGGGCTGCATGCGCCCTTTGGTGGTTGAAGTTATGCACATGCTCTCTTAGGGCAATTTCCCTTACCAGTCTAGAGCCCCAGAGGAAGGTCATATATGTGTCAAACTCTGTCATTTTGCCCCTTACTACACATGCCTGGACATGCCCCCAGAGAAAGGGCAAACTCCACCATTTTGCCCCTTACTGGGCATGCCTGGACATGTCTCCAGAGAAAGGTGCTCCACCATTTTGAGTTCTTATCAGGAAGTTGTTGCCCACAAGTCAAGAAGTCTCCTGTTTGTTAGGAAAATTTCCGCTTCCTGTTGCCAGCCACCTGACAATCACTGGACAGTTGCCTGACATTCTTTAAGGCCCTATCCTGTACTGCTCGTATCTGCCTGTCTACGTACCCTAACAGTAGCAATTTACACTCCCATCAGTAATGTATGAGAGTTCCAGTTGTGCCACATCCTTGCCACTGTCTTGGTATTGCCACCATCTTTCTTTTTACTCAGTGGTTGCTAAAGAAACTGGGAAGCAGGAACCTTGGTTTTAAGTCAAGAAAAAACAGAAATTGTACTTGGATGATTAAATAGAGTTGCCACATGTAGGAAAAAAAAAAACAAACCACAGACTATTCAGTTAAATTTGAATAAATATGTCACATGCAATATTTAAGGCACACTAAAAAATTATTCATCATTTATCTGAAATTCAAATTTAACTGGCATTCTGTATTTTTATCTGGAAACTCCATTGGGTGGGTATGGGGAATGTCTTTGTGACTGATGCTATAACAGTGAATAACTGTTCGCCACATGTCTATGGGAACGGGATATGGTAGAGAGGAAGCAAAAACAATGGAACTTCTGTAGGTTGTGCAAGAAGCCCTCCTCCCAACCCCCAGATGGAGGCCAAAGGACACTAACAGTAGCAGTGATCTATTCAGTCTCTACCTAAAGTCTTAAAAGAGCATTTTCTCTGGGAACACACAATTGTTTATTCATGGATAAAGGAAGAAAAATTGAAATCTCTTGAGATGTTTTTCCTGCCAGATTCCATGTTAAGCAGCCTTATGTATGCTATCAGATTGATCAGATTGCCTTGAGACCATTTTTTCTTCTTCTTTTTTATTTTATTTTATTTTATATTTTTTTGAGACTAAGTCTTACTCTGTCGCCCAGGCTGGAGTGCAGTGGCACAATCTCAGCTCACTGCAACCTTGGTCTCCCGGGTTCAAGCGATTCTTCTGCTTCTGCCTCCTGAGTAGCTGGGATTACAGGTGTCTGCCACCATGCCCAGCTAATTTTTTTTTTTTTTTTGTATTTTTAATAGAGACGGGGTTTCACCATATTGGCCAGGGCCAGGCTGGTCTTGAACTCCTGACCTCAGGTGATCCACCTGCCTTGGCCACTCAAAGTGCTGTGATTACAGGCGTCAGCCACTGCGCCTGTACCTAAAGTCTTAAAAAAGCATTTCCCCTGGGAACACACAATTGTTTATTCATGGATAAAGGAAGAAAAACTGAAATTTCTTGAGAGGTTTCTCCTGCCAGATTTCATGTTAAGCAGCCTTATGTGTGTTATGACATTCTAGCCTTGTGACCACTTTTTCTTCTTCTTTTTTGAGATGAAGTCTCGCTCTGTTGCCCAGGCTGGAGTGCACTGGGGCGATTTCAGCTCACTGCAACCTCTATCTCCCAGGTTCAAGCAATTCTCCTGCCTCAGCTTCCCAAGTAGCTGGGATTACAGGAACCCACCACAGCGCCCAGCTAATTTTTTGTATTTTTAGTAGAGACAGGGTTTCACCATGTTGGCCAGACTGGTCTTGAACTCCCAAACTCAGGTGATCCGCCTGCCTTGGCCTCTCAAAGTGCTGGGATTACAGGAGTGAGCCACCATGCTTGGCTCTTCTATTTTGAAGTTCAATACTTGGAAAACTTAAGCAGCTATGTCAGGCTCAAGGTCAGGTGAGCTATAGTCAACGTCTGTGCTCTTCCATTCTACCAAGTCCCCTGTCTTTTGGAAGGTGCCGAGACCAGCTCAGTTGGGGAGACCCTAACCCAATGGTGCTAGAGGAATTAAAGACACACACACAGAAATATAGAGGTGTGAAGTGGGAAATCAGGGGTCTCACAGCCTTCAGAGCTGAGAGCCCTGAACAGAGATTTACCCACATATTTATTAACAGCAAGCCAGTCATTAGCATTGTTTCTATAGATGTTAAATTAACTAAAAGTATCCCCTATGGGAAACGAAGGGATGGGCCAAATCAAAGGAATAGGTTGGGCTAGTTAACTGCAGCAGGAGCATGTCCTTAAGACACAGATTGCTCACGCTATTGTTTGTGGCTTAAGAATGTCTTTAAGCAGTTTTCCACCCTGGGCGGGCCGGGTGTTCCTTGCCCTCATCCCGTAAACATACAACCTTCCAGCTTGGGTGTTAGGGCCATTATGAACATGTTACAGTGCTGCAGAGATTTTGTATATGGCTAGTTTTGGGGCCAGCTTATGGCCAGATTTTGGGGGGCTTGCTCCTAACTGGAAGTTTTATTCTCAGCAGTTACTATTTATTGACTCCCTGGGGTCTTGCGCTGGGCTCTGTTTTTCTGAGCCAATCTGAGCTATCCAGATGGGATCAGGTAAAACAGCTGAGTAAGTCTCTCCTTGGCGTTCCAGGGCTCTTAATTCCCCCTATTTCCAGCCCCTCCTTTGCCCTCTGTATGCCTCCTTCTGGCATTCAGCCACCTACCAAATAATTCCATGGGTCGCATCAACCCACCAGCCCCTCATTAGAGATTAACCTAATTTCTGGAACAAGAAAGTAAAATAAAGTCAGTGGAAAAGGCCCTACTTTTTGTCACCTGTGTTAGGCCATAGCCAGGGAAAGGATCCCTTCCTCTTTATACATTGAAAGTGGAGAAAGGTTAGTTTCATACCAGTAGTTGGCTTCTGGACTCCTACATCTCCTGCAGCCTCCCAGATCCCTTCAGATCTGTTCCTTTCAAGGACCTCCCTTGTTCTTGAGCTTCTCCAGAAGCCAGAAACCCCACAGTAAGCCCTTTAGTCCTGCAACTGAGTGTGTATTTAGGGCCAATTCCCTCCCCTACTCCCACAGAACCTCTGGGTCTCCCAGAATTCATAAGTCTCTGCATCAGGATAAGATTCTGCCTCATCTACCAATGGTGTCATTTCTGAAATTTTAGCCAAAAGAATGAAAACTCTCAGTTATAAGGAAATTAAAAAATGATTATGTGTAGTTGAAGATATGGCATTTCCTAATTTAAGCTACACAATTTATATAAACAAAGTGTACTCCAAAACATTTTTCTTCATGTTAAAAATGGTGCTCATGCTTGATAATGCTTAAATTAGGAGTCCTCTCAGGAGTATTTGTGTTTTTCATAGCACAAGACTTGGAAAGTTTCTGACACTGGCAAAGTTTAGTTATCCTCCTTTCATCAAGCAAGTCAAAGGGACTTGGCTCACTAAAACATTTGTGAGGGGAAGAGATAAAAAGCAGAGGGTAAACTGGGTCTATCGATGCCTCCATTGTCTTCCATCATTAACCTCTCCAGTAACCTAATTTATTAAGCTTCTTCTCTACTTTTGTCCTATAATTTATTAAACTGGTGTCAGGCATACATGGTTCTAGAGGAAGACTGCCCTTTCACACCCAGACCCTCTATGCGTGCCCTCTGAAGCTCTTCACAATGTGACCTACCCTATTTCTTCAGTCCTTTTGATTTCTACTTCCATAAGTTATCCCATCACTACTCAGCAAGCAGCCCCTCTATATCTATTCCTGCTGTCAGTTACCGTCTCCTGTCTTCCTCTTTACCTGTTAACATCCCATCCCTAGTGCCCATCCACCAGGAAGCCATTTCTAACCTTCCATGTTGGATTTGCCTTTCCCTCCTCTGAACTTGCAAACCCCTTTCCAGATGTGGTGGAGAACCCTCTGGTCTGGCGCTCAGGACACTAGGATATCATTACAGCACTGATACTTGGCTCCCTCTGTGCTTTTTCTCTAAATGACAATGATACTATTTTCACTTCCTCCTTCCCACGGTTATTAAAAATATACAGGAATCTATACTAATAGCAGACATGAGATTTATATACGTGTATTCTGAGCATGTACACCTTTTCTTTTGACTTATTTGTAGGTTTTTTTTGAGGACAGGTAACTGGACCTCAGTCATCTTTGTGTCCCCCAAAGATAATGGCCTACACATAGCCTAGAAAATAGTAGGTGCTCAATACAATTGTATTTATTTATACCAGTGGTTTTCAACCATGGGTGATTTGCACCTCCCATCCGCCCTGCCCCACCCAACCACCACCTGCCTGAGACATATGGCAATGTCTAGTAACAGTTTTAGTTTCTACAATTCAGGGAGATGGCAGAGAATTGCTACTGGCATCTAGTGGGTAGAGGCCAGGGAAGCCGCTAAGCATCCTACAATGCACAGGACAGGCCCTGCCTTCCCTAACTTTCAACAAGAAGTTATTCGGCCCAATGGTGGCAAGGCTGAGAAACTCTGATTTATACCCTTGATCTTAAGGAGATTTGAGCCATTTACAAACTCACATATGCAATAAGATACCAAATGCAAAATGAAGAAATCAGGCACAGGAAAAATAAAGCCTAGAGCAGCTTTAGTGCGTGCTTTAAGGTTCCTATACAATGCTAGACATCACTGCACATTAGACCCTGAGCTTCTGATCAGGCAAAGCAAAGAGGGAACACAAATATTTAGGAGATTGGCCATGTCCATAAAAGACAAACAAATTAAAACCTAGAGAAATTTCTCGTCAAAATGGAGGTGATGCATGAAAAAGAGTGATCTAAGCCTTTAACAGTAGTTCTATAATAACTAGAACAGACATTTCCTAATGTAGGCTTAAAGAGTATGGAGGGATTACAGTATGAGCACTGAAAGTAACGTATGAGAAGCTAAAATGATCCCATCCAAGTACTTATCTGTCTGATAATCTGAGATAATTCAAGATTAAAAATCAGATTTTTAAAGACTTTTTTGATACAGAGTCTTGCTCTGTGATCCAGGCTGGAGTGCAGTGGTGCCATCTCAGCTCACTGCAAACTCCACCTCCTGGGTTCAAGCAATTCTCGTGCCTCAGCCTCCCGAGTGGCTGGAATTACAGGCGTGTGCCACCATGCCTGGCTAATTTTTGTATTTTTAGTAGAGAATGGATTTCACTATGTTGGCCAGGCTGCTCTCCAACAGCTGGCCTCAAATGATCCGCCTGCCTCGGCCTCCCAAAGTGCTGGGATTACAGGTGTGAGCCACAGAACTTGGCCTAAAGATTGTTTAGAGGAGTACAAGGGGGCATGTTCCTTGATAATTCTTCATAAATAGCATTTTTGCCAGCTATTTATGAGGTTTAGTAAGAACTGGGCAGTGGTGAGACTGAGTTAAAAGTCTGGCAAGACCTTGAGTTCAGATTCCCAGCTCAAGCTGCTTATCCATGAGAAGAGGTATGCAGATGGAAAGGTATATAACGTATTGCATTGTTATAAAAATTAAGGAATGGAGTGGGGACACACAGCTGAATAGAAGACCACCCTAGTGTAGCATGGAAGTGAGCTTAAGTCATCTACCTACAGGAAAGTTTGTTTCCCTCAGAAACCACCTCTGGGGCTGCTTCAGCAAGTGACCACATGGCTGATAAAAGTCCCCAAGTTCTGTACCATAGAGCCTGGAAAACTTTTGTAGTAGGTATTACCACCTTCTCCCATGGTAATAAAAGAATGTAACAATACACCTACAGAGTCAAATTTTAAGTACAGAAAGTCCCTCAACTTATATGGGGTGATGTCCAGATAAACTTATTATAAGTAAACAAAATTATTAAGTTGAAAATGCATTTAGTTCAGATAAATTCATCATGAAGTTGGAAAATTGTAAGTGGAATTATTGTAAGTTAGGGACTGTCTGTAATGTAACTTCCTAGTCAATGCTGTAAAGATAAAAGAATTGCAATATGGAACCTTAGATATTATAATAAGTTGATCTTCTAAAAATACTAATTGGCCCTATTCTGCTTCTGAACCATTTGATCTGGTTGTAGAGATTGAGTGAGTGATCTGGAATTGGTATTTTTAAGGCTTCCCAGGTAATTACAAAGTGCAGCCAGGGTTGAGAATCACCACATTAAAGGAAATGATGATTTTTGAGTATTGAATTAGTCCAACTTGAGTCTTTTATACAATAATAAAATACATTTCCTCTCAACTTCAAACTTCATGTACCACTTAAATTTTCTCCCCAAACACGTATAATTTAAAAAAATTAAGCCAAGGGGAACACTCATTCTATGGCATAGAATGAGGTGTTGCTTGGTTCTAAAAATGAATGAATGAATGAATGAATGAATGAATAATATGCTCAATGAAGAAAATCTGAGAATTACCAAAATATCAAAACAAAAAACCTCTAGCAATTCCACCATACAAAGCTTAACTACTTGTGACATTTTCAATGTATGTCTTTCCATTTAATCCATTAAAACAGTAATTAGTGTGTAGGACCAGTTTTTAATGAGGATATTCCCAATTGAGGCAATAAAACCATTTCTCCTGCAATGTGGAGAAGGCTGCTTTCCTTTCTGTTTGTTTTACATGGAGAGCAAGCATTCATCTCTTTTAAAACTGGTATCCAATTATGCTGTAGCTCAGAATTACCTAATTAGTTGAGATGCCCCCACCATGACTCTTGAGTTTGTGTGACAGGGTAGAGTCTGTCTAAGAAAGTCAAGAGTTTGAGTTCATCCCAAGGGCTGAAATACTATTGGTTTAATGAATGAATCTTTGAGTTACCTTAAAAGTCCCAATTTATATGCAGATATCCTAAAAGCCCTCGACTAAAAGTAGGTTTCTTACCTAGGCAATGACTTACTTCCCCAGACTCACGTTTTGCCTTTATTCTGTTTCTTCACATCTTTCTTGGAACTATTTGTCTCCAATAGGAGCTAAACAGAGAGGAATCCCAAAAGGAGAAGAGGGTACCCACCAGCCCCCAGAATTGCAGAGGGCTCAGCTCTAACCATGCTTAGCATGTCTGGTATCTGGCCATGTTCAGAGAATAGTCCTTTAGATGTCTCACATTTAACATCTTGGCTAAAAGAGCCAGAACACCTGTAAAGTGCAGCACTGTATTTTAAATCTCGCTGTGACTCAAATGTGAATTGGAATTGCCTGTTCTTCAAATAATGTGGGCTGAAGATCACTTAGCTGGTGAGAATCCAGCTAACAGCTGCATTCACTTTGGTACAAAATGACTCAAAGGGACTTGGTTGGCCAGGCACAGTGGCTCACACCTGTAATCCCAGCAATTTGGGAGGCCGGGGTGGGAGGATTGCTTGAGCCAAGGATGTTCAAGACCAGCCTGGGCAAGATGGCAAGATCTCATCTCTAAATAAATAAATAAATAAATAATTTTTTAAAAAGGGACTTGGTCAATTTTTTTTCTTTTCTTTTTTTTTTTTTTTTTTTTTGAGATGGAGTCTCACTCTGTCCCCCAGGCTGGAGTGCAGTGGCACAATCTTGGCTTACTGCAAACTCTGCCTTCCAGGTTCATGCCATTCTCCTGCCTCAGCCTCCCGAGTGGCTGGGACTACAGGCGCCCGCCACCACGCCCGGCTAATTTTTTGTATTTTCAGTAGAAACGGGGTTTCACCGTGTTAGCCAGGATGGTCTCGATCTCCTGACCTCGTGATCTGCCCGCCTTGGCCTCCCAAAGTGCTGGGATTACAGGCGTGAGCCACCGCGCCCTGCCTTTTGTTTCTTTTTTTAACTTTTTCAGTGAAAAGTCAACTTTGTTAAATTATTTTAAATTTTGTTTTGCTGTAGATAGGGGAAAGGGTTCCTTTCAAAATGCCAACAACTTGTACTAGGGATGGAAGTCAAGAGAGCTAAGATAGCCTCAGCCATAAAACTGGTGGTAAAAATTTACAGAATGTTGAATTTGGGTGGTGTTTATAATCTATAACTCTAACAAGTCCCAATCTAATATTTTATAAGAAGACTACAAAACTGTTCAGTGAGTGCTCTAGCCAGTATAAATGGATCTCAAAACTTCAATAAACATGCAATTATCTTGTGGCTGTGAAACAGATGTTGATAAATTTCCTTTAGGAAAAGGGCAGCATCCTAGGCAAACACTTGATTATGAAATATTTCTTTTTCCCAAAAGCCTCCAGATGCATTCTTCCCAAACATGGTGTATATTTGGGAAGAGACAGCCATTAAGTGTCTTTGTCTCTGACTTCATTGCCCCACATTTGTCTCTGTCTTCACTCCCCCAAGGAAAACCTGTGTGTTTCCACACAGTGTTACATGCTAACTGCTCAATACAACTGATGGCCACTTCTCAAGTGTCTGCCCAGTCCTCAGGGATTCCTCTGAGTTTTATGAATACCTTCAAGTGCTCTTAGCGTTGTTCTTAGGGGTTAGGTTGTTCTTAGGGTTGGATTTCCCAGGTAACGGAAGCACAGCCTTAGGACACTCAAAAAGCTAGGGCAATAAAATAAAATAAAAATGTGGAAAAATATGTAGCTCCTCCCTCCTCAAGTAAATGTCATCTTTAAGGAA
This sequence comes from Homo sapiens, assembly GCF_000001405.40. Classification (NCBI taxonomy): domain Eukaryota; kingdom Metazoa; phylum Chordata; class Mammalia; order Primates; family Hominidae; genus Homo; species Homo sapiens. Next base: position 83,179,596 of record NC_000004.12, read on the forward strand.
AGTAATCACAATTATATTGGACTTCTTTACACTTATTTACTTATTTACATATGGAAAGTTATAGATGGGTAGCACATCACACAGTGTTCAGTGTGTTTAAGGCTTCTAAAGACATTTGCCTGGTCCTAGTTTTATCTATCTATCTATCTATCTATATCTATATATAGATATATAGATATAGATATAGATATAGATATTTTTTTTTTTGAGATGGAGTCTCGCTCTGTCGCCCAGGCTGGAGTGCAGTGGCACGATCTCGGCTCACTGCAAGCTCTGCCTCCCAGGTTCACGCCATTCTCCTGCCTCAGCCTCCCGAGTAGCTAGGACTACAGGCACCCGCCACCACACCTGGCTAATTTTTTGTATTTTTAATAGGAATGGGGTTTCATCGTGTTAGCCAGGATGTTCTCAATCTCCTGATCTCATGATCTGCCTGCCTCGGCCTCCCAAAGCGCTGGGATTACAGGCGTGAGCCACCGCGCCTGGCTGGTCCTGGTTATATTTTAAGGTCAGTTGTTTTCAGGTCTCTTCCCACTACCCGAGTCTGAGCTACACAGGTACTGGCCAGTCATCTTTTAATCCTACCACAGCACCTGGAGCACAGTAGATGCTCAATGAGCAATTTTTTTTTAAATAAGTGAATGAACAAATGTTTGAAGACAGAACTGTGTGTCTCATGTACACAATTTAGGGGTCTCTATTTTAGACATCTAGACATCAGAAATATTACCTCCGAACCCTGTCCACTTCCCCTAATCAACTATCTTTAAGTGATGTGTTTGCCTTAAAGACTAGGAAGAGGGAGGAAAAAAAGAAGCTTCCCTTTTCCCCTTTTCTTAAATCATGCAAATGAGAAAGGCTAATCCTTCCCTCTAGAGTGAAAATACTGAAAGCTACTTTGGTAATTGTTAGGGACAAGCTACCCCAGGAATCCCCCCAACTTCCCCTTACCCTGAATACTCTGCAGCTGCCTTCCTAAACACTTATCTGGGTGCCACAGCAAAGTTACCAGACATGCTAAGTGGAGCAAACCCTAATTACAGCCATTTGGGCAGCACCGGGGAAGTCGTGGGAAATGTGAACAAACCTTAGTTACACATTCTTGTAAATTCCTGTTTTTCATCTAACTGCCACCTTAAAAGTCAGGGAATGACGTGTTATAAGTCTATTACAAGCTGATGAACTACCTTTGTGCCTGTTACAAGCTAATAGATACTCTTAGCGGTAAAGATAACCGACAAACAACCCCAGGATGCGGTTATACCCAGAAACTCCCTTAAGCCCCTCCGACCCCATATAAACTCCTCATTCTGTGAGTTCAGGGCTGCCTCCTTTGACTGTTAAGGAGCAGCCCAGCAGGTTAATAAACTTGCTTGACTTAGGTCTACTCATCCTTTCTCTCGGCTAGCCTTACAGTAATATTGCCAGTAATAAGAAGGCTACAAATCAGCTAAGAAAACAAGTGGTCAGATGGTAATGATTTCAAAATTGTGTTTGTTATATAAAAACATATATAGAATTAACTTCTGACAACAAAATGGTAATAAACTTCAAAATGACTGAAACAGAAATTATGCCTCCTCCCAGCAAAACTGATGCCAGTAGCAAATCTTGAAACGAATTACAAAATAAGTTTACAAAATAAACTTTCTAGAGGGAATTTGTAATATTCTGTTTAAATACACCACTCTTACTGGTGATACAATGATTTCTTCTTTAATGATTAAAAAAATTGTCTCTTAGGGAAAAAAATGGATCTTGTAACAGCACTTTTTAAAAAGTCACGATACTCACAGGCTCTTAAGAATCACTACTGCCAAAAAAAAAAAAATCTGAATTCCTGCTCTGCCTCTGCCTCTCCCCTCTCCCCTCTCCCCTCTCCCTCTCGGTCTCCCTCTCCCTCTCTTTCCATGGTCTCCCTCTGATGCCGAGCCGAAGCTGGACTGTACTGCTGCCATCTCGGCTCACTGCAACCTCCCTGCCTGATTCTCCTGCCTCAGCCGGCCGAGTGCCTGCGATTGCAGGCGCGCGCCACCACGCCTGACTGGTTTTCGTACTTTTTTGGTGGAGACGGGGTTTCGCTGTGTTGGCCGGGCTGGTCTCCAGCTCCTAACCGCGAGTGATCCGCCAGCCTTGGCCTCCCGAGGTGCCGGGATTGCAGACGGAGTCTGGTTCACTCAGTGCTCAATGGTGCCCAGGCTGGAGTGCAGTGGTGTGATCTCAGCTCGCTACAACCTCCATCTCCCAGCCGCCTGCCTTGGCCTCCCAAAGTGCCGAGATTGCAGCCTCTGCCCGGCCACCACCCCGTCTGGGAAGTGAGGAGCGTCTCTGCCTGGCCGCCCATCGTCTGGGACGTGAGGAGCCCCTCTGCCTGGCTGCCCAGTCTAGAAAGTGAGGAGCGTCTCTGCCCGGCCGCCATCCCATCTAGGAAGTGAGGAGCGCCTCTTCCCGGCAGCCATCCCATCTGGGAAGTGAGGAGCGTCTCTGCCCGGCCGCCCATCGTCTGAGATGTGGGGAGCGCCTCTGCCCCGCCGCCCCGTCTGGGATGTGAGGAGCGCCTCTGCCCGGCCGCGACCCTGTCTGGGAGGTGAGGAGCGTCTCTGCCCAGCTGCCCCGTCTGAGAAGTGAGGAGTCCCTCCGCCCAGCATCCGCCCCATCTGAGAAGTGAGGAGCCCCTCCGCCCGGCAGCCGCCCCGTCTGAGAAATGAGGAGCTCCTCTGCCCGGCAGCCACCCCGTCTGGGAAGTGAGGAGCGTCTCCGCCCGGCAGCCGCCCCGTCCGGGAGGGAGGTGGGGGGCTCAGGCGCCCTGCCAGCCGCCCCATCCGGGAGGGAGGTGGGGGGGTCAGCCCCCCGCCCGGCCAGCCGCCCCATCCGGGAGGGAGGTGGGGGGGTCAGCCCCCCGCCCGGCCAGCCGCCCCGTCCGGGAGGTGAGGGGCGCCTCTGCCCAGCCGCCCCTACTGGGAAGTGAGGAGCCCCTCTGCCTGGCCAGCCGCCCCGTCCGGGAGGGAAGTGGGGGGGTCAGCCCCCCGCCCGGCCAGCCGCCCCGTCCGGGAGGGAGGTGGGGGGGTCAGCCCCACGTCCGGGAGGGAGGTGGGGGGGTCAGCCCCCCGCCCGGCCAGCCGCCCTGTCCAGGAGGGAGGTGGGGGGGTCAGCCCCCCGCCCGGCCAGCTGCCCCGTCCGGGAGGTGAGGGGCGCCTCTGCCCGGCCACCCCTACTAGGAAGTGAGGAGCCCCTCTGCCCAGCCACCACCTCATCTGCGAGGTGTACCCAACAGCTCATTGAGAACGGGCCGGGATGACAATGGCGGTTTTGTGGAATAGAAAGGGGGAAAAGGTGGGGAAAAGATTGAGAAATCGGATGGTTGCCGTGTCTGTGTAGAAAGAAGTAGACATGGGAGACTTTTCATTTTGTTCTGTACTAAGATAAATTCTTCTGCCTTGGGATCCTGTTGATCGGTGACCTTACCCCCAACCCTGTGCTCTCTGAAACATGTGCTGTGTCCACTCAGGGTTAAATGGATTAAGGGCGGTGCAAGATGTGCTTTGTTAAACAGATGCTTGAAGGCAGCATGCTCATTAAGAATCATCACCACTCCCTAATCTCAAGTACCCAGGGACACAAACACTGCGGAAGGCCGCAGGGTCCTCTGCCTAGGAAAACCAGAGACCTTTGTTCACTTGTTTATCTGCTGACCTTCCCTCCACTATTGTCCTATGACCCTGCCAAATCCCCCTCTGCGAGAAACACCCAAGAATGATCAATAAAAAAAATAAAAATTTAAAAAAAAAAAAAAAAGAATCACTACTGCCAAATTTAATTTAAAAGACAATTCATGTTGCAGACCTGTGGGTTTTTAAAAGATTCATCTAGGGAAATAATTAACACCTAGCACTCAATTCTTCCTTGGCTGTGTTAGTTACATAGTAAAATTTTACTTGTGCCATAGTATATTACTTTGTTTAAATAATTAACATAAATCTGTATTCAAGAGTACTTGTCAGAGTTTTTCCCATGAATCTGCTTGAAGAAAAAGCAACTTGTGGTGGGGGACTGCAGTGATCCAGGTGCTTTTGGACAAGAATCAAAACAATACTGTGGATAACAAGGGCAGAATGGCCATGGTTAAAAATTTGATGAGAGTTCATTATAACCAGCATGTGACAAGGAAATTTGATTCTTTCTGTGGTATACAATACTTTAACATAATAACCCAAATTATGACTGATGACATGTTAGATTTCTAGCAATCTCATATTAATTTTTGGAGCACTCATATCAATAACATACCCATAAATATAACTTGAAGGTTTAACATCACTTACTCATTGACAATCAATGCTTCTCATGTAATTTAACATATCAAATACGCTTAATTAGTTTTATATCAGTCTTTTACAAGGCAATAGAAACATCTCTTGCAACTTTCCAGGGGTCCAACAGAAAAATCTCAAAATTAATTTGAGATTGAAACAACTTAATTTAAGATTTGATTTTGGGAAGTTTGTAAAAAATGTCAAAAGACTTAACAATTAAAAATGATCTTGGCTATCTATTTCATCAAAGTGACAGCAGAAAAATTTAAAGGCAAATACAGAAAGTTACATGGTTCTGAACAAACTTAGCTCTTTTAATATTGAGAAGTCTCACTTTTCTTAAGTAATCAAAGATCCAACAGAAAATAACATGAGGCATAAAAAATTATCTTGATAAAACACAAAGTCTATTTTCTAGGTCAATTACTTAAAAGGAAAAAACCTCAGACCAATTTATCTTCTCAGACCAATACCCCAATAAAACTTCATCATTTTGACAGAAAAGGCCAACTTCTACTTTTGTATCTATGTGCTATTACTACTAAAGCTAATTTTCAATAAAACCTTTTAAATAAATTCATCCAATCTAAGTCAGCTTTGATCATACAAGATAGTTTCCACAAACTTTTTGTAACTTTTAAAAAATATTCATCAACTTCTCTTTTCAAACAAAAATTCATCCTTCATACCTTTTTTTTTTTTTTTTTTTTTTTTTTATTGATCATTCTTGGGTGTTTCTCGCAGAAGGGGATTTGGCAGGGTCATAGGACAATAGTGGAGGGAAGGTCAGCAGATAAACAAGTGAACAAAGGTCTCTGGTTTTCCTAGGCAGAGGACCCTGCGGCCTTCCGCAGTGTTTGTGTCCCTGGGTACTTAAGATTAGGGAGTGGTGATGACTCTTAACGAGCATGCTGCCTTCAAGCATCTGTTTAACAAAGCACATCTTGCACCGCCCTTAATCCATTTAACCCTGAGTGGACACAGCACATGTTTCAGAGAGCACAGGGTTGGGGATAAGGTCACAGATCAACAGGATCCCAAGGCAGGAGAATTTTTCTTAGTACAGAACAAAATGAAAAGTCTCCCATGTCTACTTCTATCCACACAGACCCGGCAACCATCCGATTTCTCAATTTTTTCCCCACCCTTCCCGCCTTTCTATTCCACAAAACCACCATTGTCATCATGGCCCATCCCCAATGAGCCGCTGGGCACACCTCCCAGACGGGGTCGTGGCTGGGCAGAGGGGCTCCTCACTTCCCAGTAGGGGCGGCCGGGCAGAAGCGCCCCTCACCTCCCGGATGGGGCGGCTGGCCGGGCGGGGGGCTGACCCCCCCACCACCCTCCCGGACGGGGCGGCTGGCCAGGCAGAGGGGCTCCTCACTTCCCAGTAGGGGCGGCCGGGCAGAGGCGCCCCTCACCTCCTGGATAGGGCGGCTGGCCGGGCGGGGGGCTGACCCCTCCACCTCCCTCCTGGACGGGGCGGCTGGCCGACCCCCCCCCCCGCCTCCCTCCCGGACGGGGCGGCTGGCCGGGCAGAGGGGCTCCTCACTTCCCAGTAGGGGCGGCCGGGCAGAGGCGCCCCTCACCTCCCGGACGGGGCGGCTGGTCAGGCGGGGGGCTGATCCCCCCACCTCCCTCCCGGACGGGGCGGCTGGCCGGGCAGGGGGCTGACTCCCCCTCCCCCCTCCCGGACGGGGCGGCTGGCCGGGCGGGGGGCTGACCCCCCCACCTCCCTCCCAGATGGGGCGGCTGGCCAGGCCGGGCTGACCCCCCCACCTCCCTCCTGGACGGGGCGGCTGGCCGGGCAGAGGGGCTCCTCACTTCCCAGTAGGGGCGGCCGGGCAGAGGCGCCCCTCACCTCCCGGACGGGGCGGCTGGCCAGGCGGGGGGCTGATCCCCCCACCTCCCTCCCGGACGGGGCGGCTGGCCGGGCAGAGGGGTCCTCACTTCCCAGTAGGGGCGGCCGGGCAGAGGCGCCCCTCACCTCCCGGACGGGGCGGCCGGCCGGGCGGGGGGCTGACCCCCCCACCTCCCTCCCGGACGGGGCGGCTGGCCGGGCAGAGGGGCTCCTCACTTCCCAGTAGGGGCGGCCGGGCAGAGGCGCCCCTCACCTCCCGGACGGGGCGGCTGGCCGGGCAGGGGGCTGACCCCCACTCCCCCCTCCGGGACTGGGCGGCTGGCCGGGCAGAGGGGCTCCTCACTTCCCAGTAGGGGCGGCCGGGCAGAGGAGCCCCTCACCTCCCGGACGGGGCGGCTGGCCGGGCGGGGGGCTGACCCCCCCCCACCCCGCTCCCGGACGGGGTGGCTGCCGGGCGGAGACGCTCCTCACTTCCCAGACGGGGTGGCTGCTGGACGGAGGGGCTCCTCACTTCTCAGACAGGGCGGTTGCCAGGCAGAGGGTTTCCTCACTTCTCAGACGGGGCGGCCGGGCAGAGGCGCTCCTCACATCCCAGACAGGGCGGCGGGGCAGAGGTGCTCCCCACCTCTCAGACGATGGGCGGCCGGGCAGAGACGCTCCTCACTTCCTAGATGGGATGGCGGCGGGGAAGAGGCGCTCCTCGCTTCCTAGATGGGATGGCGGCCGGGCAGAGACGCTCCTCACTTTCCAGACTGGGCAGCCAGGCAGAGGGGCTCCTCATATCCCAGACGATGGGCGGCCAGGCAGAGACGCTCCTCACTTCCCAGACGGGGTGGCGGCCGGGCAGAGGCTGCAATCTCGGCTCTTTGCGGGGCCAAGGCAGGCGGCTGGGAGGTGGAGGTTGTAGCGAGCCGAGATCACGCCACTGCACTCCAGCCTTGGCACCATTGAGCACTGAGTGAACGAGACTCCGTCTGCAATCCCGGCACCTCGGGAGGCCGAGGCTGGCGGATCACTCGCGGTTAGGAGCTGGAGACCAGCCCGGCCAACACAGCAAAACCCCGTCTCCACCAAAAAAATACGAAAACCAGTCAGGCGTGGCGGCGCGCGCAGGCACTCGCAGGCTGAGGCAGGAGAATCAGGCAGGGAGGCTGCAGTGAGCCGAGATCGCAGCAGTACAGTCCAGCTTCGGCTCGGCATCAGAGGGAGACCGTGGAGAGGGGAGAAGGAGAGGGAGGGGGAGGGGGAGGGGGACGGGGAGGGGGAAGAGGGAGAGCCCTTCATACCTTTTTTTATCAGACACAACTTACTTTTGTTGCATACAGTATTGTTTCCCTTATAATTTTGAATAGGTTAATTATATACATTAATTATAATTTTAAATTCTTATTAAATTTAATTTCTAGTGAAAATTAGCAAACATTGTGAACTGTCTTATATTAGCATTCACCATTTTATACTTTTAGGAAACATGTTTCCTCAATTTTTCATATTTATTAACAAACTAAATATATTTCATTTCTCTAGGCCATATAAAAACAAGATGACAGCTGGGTGCGGTGACTCATGCCTGTAATCCCTGCACTTTGGGAGGCCAAGGCGGGTGGATCACTTGAGGTCACGAGTTCGAGACCAGCCTGGCCAACATGGTGAAACCCCATCTCTACCAAAAATACAAAAATTCGCCAGGTGTGGTGGCACGTACCTGTAATCCCAGCTACTCAGGAGGCTGAGGCAGGAGAATCGCTTGAACCCGGGAGGTGGAGGTTGCAGTGAGCTGAGATCGCGCCACTGTACTCCAGCCTGGGCGACAGAGCGAGACTCTGTCTCAAGAAAAAACAAACAATCAAACAAAAAAACAAGATGACAAAGTATATAAACTTAAATTCATGCTTAGTAATCATTGTTTCAATATTTTAACTTACTTGGAAATGACTCAAACATCTAATGGGCATTTATTACTTAATTTTATTTTAAGGTTACAAGTTATCAAAAAGATTTTTGAGGCCATTTTAAAGTAGATATTTTATAAACAATTATTAATAAAACCTCACTTAAACTTTTATACAACTTATATTCATTTAATTTACTTATTCTAAACAATTATGCTTGAACTGTTCATGAAAATTTTATGAGACATTAAACAAAGCTGGCCAATATCTTAAGTATTTTTTGTTGTTATTGGTAAATCAGGCAAGTACCAAAAATACTATAGAAGCCAAGAAACTAAAAATTTCAATGTGGTTCTTTCCTCTCTTTTTTTTTCTCCATGACTGACATGCGTCAGGCAATTTATTTTTAGTGTGCATTCTGCTCTTAGGTTGGATTTATACTTTTATGGTCTTAAGCATCTAACAGAGACAACACAAACATGTATAATCAGTAAACCCAGGCAAAAATGTATGTTTAGATTATTAAATAATCTAATTATTTAATAATCAGACAGAAGCAGATTTTACAGCTTTCATTCTAAAACATTTAGCCATGTGCCAGGTCTGATAATTTAAGACTCACTAACTAGATCTGGCGAATGGGACAAGTTGAGGCTACCTGCTCAGATGGTTAAAGCTTTTTCTGAAGTATTGTGGAGAAAGATTTTAAGACTTTTTATTTTACCAGTTTCTGGTAAAACCCGGTTTCTGATGATCATTATTTCTTTGAAGTTTGAATTTCCACAAGATAACCATCAAGTTCTAGAGAAGACAGGGTAGGAAATTTATATCTCAAAGTTCCTCTGATAATAGGCTTTCTCAAATAGAGTGAATAGAGAAAGTCTATTATCAGAGATCAATCTTATGGAAGCTGTGGACTAAATTTTAGGCTGGTGACTGAAGGGACATCTAGCAGGTAACCGTCTCCAAAGACCCATGTGAATGGACAAGACATCTATTTCTGCTAAAACTGAATTTTTGCATTTTTCACTAGTTTGGTCTTGAGATTTTTTTCTTGAGAGTGGCTATAAACTCTACCCCTGCCCTGACAGGCCTATCAAAAAAGCCACTCTTTATGAGAGCCCAGACCAGGAGGAGAGTGAGGTTTGGGTGTGTCGGTTAGGTGAGACCAGAGGAGGATTCAAAATGGATGTCAAGGCAACATAGACTTACAGGAATTTACTATAGGATTTTACAAGGAAGTACAGAGATGGGCCTTGGAGAAGGTTCAGAAGCCTGACTAAAGTTTGGCCATAGAAACCTGAATTCTTCTTACCTCTGATGTTTCCTTTTAGTAATTTTCCATCCACCGATCAACAAATGGAGGAGACAGGAGCTTGAAGGGGAACATATCAGGGATTAAAAGAACTGAATTGAAAGTTCAGAAGATTGAGGGTGGCAAAAGGAAGGAGGGACAGAAGTAAATAGAAGAAGTAGTCTTCAGAAGTCAGTATGGAGAGATCTTAATTTTCCCAATGAAGTTCCACATTATCCTTAGCAAAAATTATGCCAACAAGAAAGGAAGTGGGCAGAAAGACCGAGCATATGGTTTGCAGGGGTTCAAGAAGAGGGTATCAGTCAACTGAGATGTTCTCCTAGGGTAAGCAAGATCCAATAGAGAGAACAGAAATAACTTTAAAAGATTGTATCCTGAATATCAGTTTCCAATTAACCTGACTTCTGACCACAGAGCTCCAAAACAAACAAACAAACAAACAAACAAAAAACAAACAAAAAAACCTTTCAAGTCCCTTATCATTAGATTTTAGCTGGAGCAAATAACAACTATTCCTGGCTTTTTTTTTTTCCCCATTTAAACCAGAGGTATCTACCAAGTGACTTATTATAGAATCAAAACCAGTAAGTGTTTTATAACTTAACCAAGGATGAAAGAGACTTACTCAAGAGAGGCAGCCCTCCCAAGATGCAGAGCCACTCTCAAGGACGGTCAAAAGAAAGACCTTTGTTGCCACAGGACCAAACAACAAAGGTTGAGACAACAAAAGCCTCTTATGAACTGGGACCTCTTAGTAAGACGATTCATCTGAGAGCTGACGCACTCTGACAAACAGAAGAGGCTCCCAGCCTATTCGACTGGCTTCCTGATGCAAGCTGATACTTTGCCCCCCTGATGGCAGAGACCCGACAGAGTACTCTCACTGGTCACAAAGCCAAACACTCAGGACACAAAATGAGACAAACAGGAAGGAAATAGCTGTCCCTGGGAGGGAAAGGATCAATAACAAATGGTACCCCAAAACCAAATTTTACACAAGAGTCACAATCCAAACAAATGATTTTCTCCTGCTTACCTAATTTGGAATGGAAGGTATAGAGAAATTTTTACCTTCAGTTCTTAACTGAACACTAGAGGCAGAGCTTCGGGAGAGCTGACCTTGGTAAAAAAATTCTTACCTTTTCTTTGCCGGCTGTTTGTCAGTTGTCCCAGGATCTATTCTGCAGGTTCCAGAGCAAATTAGGTGTCTCAGCCACCCCTACTTTGGGTGCCAGAAACTATAGGGGGCAGAAAGGTGACATCTTTCCTCACCTGTTATAAGGATCATGGTCAACACTCCTATAACAGAAGACAGGTTAACAAGAGAAAACCATAACACGTTTATTTAATCAAAGTTTTACATGATATAGGGGTCTTCAGAAATAAAGACCCAATGACCCAGGGAAAACTAGTTTAATGCATAGGTTCACTGAAGAATGGCTAGCCATGTAGGAATATGATTAGACAAAAAGAGTGTGATCTAATGGTAATAACAGAGGTTGGGGCAGGGGAGGGAAATCCAGAAAGGCCTGTCTGTTCAGATTTTTCTTGGCCTGTGTAGCATTTTTTCCTCCTGGGGATGGGGCAGGACCCCTCTGAAATGAGGGTCTCCAAGGAAGAAGGGAGAAGGAAAAGGGAGTGGCCTTTCTAGGTTTTATGGCTTGCTTTGGGGGAAAGGGATTCTAGTTTCTATGACCCACCTTGGGGAAGAGGAATTCTGGTTTCTGTGAATCACCTCAGAGGAGAAAGACTGGTGGAAAACCGAAGGATGGGAGAGGTCAGAGAGCCCCGCCTTCTGAGACCTTCCAGTCTCCTTCAGTTTAAATTACTCAGCATGTCAAAGTGTTCAGAGCCCAACACCAGGTTATTGGGCCTTATGTTCCAAGTAGAGAACTGCATGGTGTAGACAAGAGGTGGTATTGAAGGACTGGGTGGCAGAGCAGGGACAAGGTCAATGGCATTTCGGAGTTACTCATCTGGTACCAGTGTGGAGCCTGGATTCCAGAAGGTAAGACTGACATCCAAGAGCCACTGCAGGAGCATTTCAGAGCAAGTGAAGGATACTGAGGGCCTGAAAAGGGATGGGAGGCAAGAGGATGGATTTAACAGAAAGTGATAATAGGGAAACTTGGCAGTTCTCAGGAGCTGGGTGGAGGAATAAGAGAGGAAATGAGTTGCTTAATGGATCATTAAACAGGCCCACATATACACAATACTGTATATAAAAACCTCAAATGTTTTCAAGATTCTTCAGTTTAGCTGAGGTTAAATTGTCCTTCATTCCTATCCATGTGACTGTAACAAGTTGCATTTTCTTTCATGACATTTGAACGTAAAACTTGAATGTCTCACATCACAAAAACCCTGTTTTATGGTCAGACACGTATGGAGAGAGTTGGTCCTGGAGATGGAAGATAAGTGGAAAATGATGCTTACTTATGTCAGAGAGACATGTGCCTAATCTATGAACATTTACACATACCAGTGAGTAGAAAATTCAATATCACATAACAAATGCTATCTTATTTCTGAGGACTAGCAGGTAAGTAAAGTCACTCTGTATATAGGCCACTAAATCCAAAAGGTAGGAGACATTATCCCTGTCCTGGAAGAACTCACATCCTGGGAGATGAGATAAACCACACAGCTGATATGGGAAATACCCTTAGGATCTTACAAAGCAAGACGCCATCAAGTTCTAGGCCACTGAACAAGGTAGAAATTGGGTAAATCTCTTAATTAAAAAGTGCTGTGATTGGTAGGCCGAGGCGGTTGGTTCACGAGGTCAAGAGTTCGAGACCAGCCTGGCCAACATGGTGAAACCCCGTCTCTACTAAAAAATACAAAAATTGGCTGGGCATGGTGGTACGTGCCTGTAATCCCAGCTACTTGGGAGGCTGAAGCAGAAGAGCTTGAACCTGGGAGGCAGGGAGGTTGCAGTGAACTGAGATTGCGCCACTGCACTCCAGCCTGGGCGACAGAGCAAGACTCTGTCTTGCGGAAAAAAAAAAGGTGCTGTGATTTATTGTGCCAAGCACAAAATCACTTTTTTTTTTTTTTTTTTTTTTGAGATAGGGTCTCACTCGTCATCTAGGCTGGAGTCCAGTGGCATACTCTCAGCTCACTCCAGCCTTGACCTCCCAGGCTCAGGTGATCCTCCTTCTTCAGCCTCCCAAGTAGTTGGGACCACAGGCACAAGCCACCAGGGATTACTAATTTTTAAATTTTTGGTAGAGACGGGGTCTCTCTATGTTGCCCAGGCTGGTATTATTTCATTTCGATGAATTTATATCTATCTATATATTTTTTGGTACTCATAGCAACTATAGTTGGTATTAGTCTCATTATAAATATCAGTCAATTGAGCCCAGAGATGTTAAGTAACTTGCCTGTAATACTGTAAATATATATTTGGTCTTCATCCCTGTTTCCTGACCTACAACTCCTGAAGTCTTAGGAATCTTCAAAGCGATAAGTGTCTTTTTTGTGTGTTAATGAGTTGAGTTGTAGCTGGAAGCCCTTAAGTAGCTTCACGATGGGAGCTGGTCACAGGAAAGACCAAGGTACAAATAGAGGGTTGGGACCTTTCAGCCCCATCCCCCAGCCTCCAGGGAGAGAACAGGGGCTGAAGGTTAAGCTAATCACCAATGGCCATGATTTAACCAATGTCAACTGGAGAATAATGGGGTTCCTAAGTTTGGAAGGGAGAACTTTATTTCTCATAAAGGGTTGCAGCCTGCAGGGTGGCCATTCTGAGTCTGGGAAGTGTGGCCTCCACTCAGAAGCCAGAAACAGACACTTCAAGGAAGAGGCTAAGCGAACAAGAATTTATACTGAGCAGAGTGGCTAAATATACATATTTATAAGCTGTCAGAAAGTCATGAATATTTATGAGGGGAGAAATGTTCGCATGTGTAATTGAGTTTCATGCTTCTCCCCTTTTAAAAAATGGATGTGTGGAGGTTATCTGAGGGTGGAGTTTTTGGCCCTCTTTTTTTTTTTTTAATGAGACGGAGTTTCACTCTTGTTGCCTAGGCCGGAGTGCAGTGGCGCGATCTCGGCTCACTGCAAACTCTGCCTCCCGGGTTCAAGCAATTCTCCTGACTCAGCCTCCCGGGTAGCTGAGATTACAGGCATGTGCCACCACGCCTGGCTAATTTTGTACTTTTAGTAGAGATGGGGTTTCTCCATGTTGGTCAGGCTGGTCTCGAACTCCCGACTTCAGGTGATCCGCCCTAATCCTGCCTATGTAATGAAGCTTCCATGAAACCCCAAAGGACTGGGTTCAGAGAGCTTCCAGTTAGCTGAACACGTGGAGATTCCTGGAGGGTGGCGTGCCCCAGAGGGTAGAGAGGCTCCTACCTCTTCCCACATACCTTGCCCTGCCTATCTCTCCATTGATATGCTTTGTGAACATCCTTTATTTTATTTTTATTTTTTTGAGATGGGGTCTCACTCTGTCACCCAGCCTGGAGTGCAGGGGCATGATCCCGGCTCACTGCAACTTCTGCTTCCTGGGTTCAAGCAATTTGCTGGCTCGGCCCCCCGAGTAGCCGAGATTACAGGTGCCCACCACCATGCTTGGCTAAATTTTGTATTTTTAGTAGAGATGAGGTTTCACCATCTTTGCCAGGCTGATCTTGAACTCCTGACCTCGTCCACCCGCCTGGGCCTCCCAAAGTGCTGGGATTACAGGCGTAAGCCACCATGCCTGGCCATGAACATCCTTTATAATAAACCAGTACATGTAAGTAAGTGTTATCCTGAGTTTTGTGAGCCACTCTAGCAAAGTAATTGAACCCAAGAGGGAGTTATGGGAACCCTGACTTACAGCCAGTTAGCCAGAAGCACAGGCTACAATGTGGGGCTTTTGATTGGCATCTGAATTGGAGATAGTCTTGTGGGACTGAGCCCTTAACCCATGGGATCTGACACTATCTTCAGGTATGTAGTGTTAGAATTGAATTGAATAAGAGGACACCCAGCTGGTGTCAGCTCCTGAATCTGGTGTCAGGATTGACTGACTGCTTGGTGTCCAGGAAAAGACCTCCCACACATCAGGTGTCAAAAGTGCTGTGTTGATTGTATTGAGTGATGAGAGAGGATAAGAAAAAGCACTTGTCACCAGGTGTGGTGGCTCACGTCTGTAATCCCAGCATTTTGGGAGGCAGAAGCAGGAGGATCACTTTAGCCCAGAAGTTCGAGACCATCCTGGGCAACAGAATAAGACCTCATTTCTATAAAAAATTAGCCACGTACAGTGGAACGCACCTGTGGTTCCATTTCGGGAGGCTGAAGCAGGAGGATTGCTTGAGCCCAGAAAGTCAAGGCTGCAATGAGCTGTGATCGCATCATTGCACTTCAGCCTGGGTGACAGAGTGAGACTCTGTCTCAAAAAAAAAAAAAAGCACATTTCCCCCTCCCCGCCATATTCTTCTCTCATTGCCCAAGAGGCCTATAGTGTATAACTTGGGAGGATGAAATTTGAACCTAGGCCTATCTGACACAAAAGCCCATGCTTTTCCACTACTGTCAACTACAAAATGATGGTAAGAACATCAACTGCCTAAGACTGTGGTTAGGATGAAATGAAGTGCTATGGAAGAGAGCCTGGATGCATGGAAGATATGCCATGGAGTTGTTTTCCTCCTCTGCTGCCATCCCTGCCCTTCCTCAGGACATGACTCTGCTTTTCAGGCACTTCCACTAAGGGAGGACACCACCCCTAATATTGTCTTATGCCCAATTTCTGCCTCCAAAGAAGGAAGAAGTAAAAACTAAAAGGCAGAAATGAAATCCACAGGCAGACAGCCTGGCGCCGTGCCCTGGGCCTGGTAGTTAAAGATTGACCCCTGACCTAACCTGTTGTGTTATCTATAGATTCCAGACATTGTATGGAAAAGCATTGTGAAAATCCCTGTCCTGTTCTGTTCCGTTCTGATTACTGGTGCATGCAGCCCCGTCACGTATCCCCTGCTTGCTCAATCGATCACGACCCTCTCAGGCAGACCCCCTTAGAGTTGTAAGCCCTTAGAAAGGACAGGAATTGCTCACTCGGGGAGCTCGGTTTTTGGAGACGTGAGTCCTCGGATGCTCCCAGCTGAATAAAGCCCTTTCGTTCCACAACTTGGTGTCTGAGGGGTTCTTGTCTGTGGCCGGTTCTGCTACATCACCATCTCCTGGTTACCCCTCTCCTCCAGGGTGGGATAGCTCATCTGTCTCCTTCCCCAGCTGAACACCAGCCCTTTGAAGGAGAGGGATGGGGCTTTGCCATTGTCACAACTTTAGAGTTAATGTGGTAGGAGTTATTAAGAAATTATTTTAGGCAGATAGAGATGAAAAGGGGTCCTTGGGAAGTTTTTGTTTTTAAAGTCAGAAACATTTCTTGTCTAGCTGGAAAGCCAGGCCAGCAACCTTTGATATGCAAATGGAGGCCATTAGAATCTGGGTCCACCCAAACATGGCCATTCCCGCCCTCTTCTCCTTGCTCTTGCCCGAACATGTGCCTGGCAACATGGCGGCCCCCATATATCCCCATGTGTGTAGAACATCAGGGTTCCCTGCATTTGCATGTTAAAAGGCTAGGGTGGAAGGGCCAGTTTCTTCTGGGCTACATGAATGACATGCCTGGTGAAACCAATCCCCTGAGCCCTATGCAAATCAGACACCACCTCCTCCAGCCTCTACATACACCTGGCTGGTTTCCACCCCACTTGGGGTCTCCTCTTTCGGCTTTGGAGCCCCCCCCCCCCTCTGTCTCTGTACGTGGGAGCTTCTTCCTTCCACCTTCTTCCTTTCTTTTCTTCCTTTCTTGCCTGTTAAACTCTCTGCTCCTTAAAACCACTCCACGGGTGTCTGGTTGTTTTATCTAATTCAACGTGAGACAAGAGCTCTGGTGTTCCCCCACTCATCGGAGTCATATCATTTAGGCCAAACCAAAGGCATAAGAGAAACTTAGGATTCCATGGGATGACATTTAAAATGCCTTCAGAGGCTGGATGCGGTGGCTCACGCCTGTAATCCCAGCACTTCGGGAGGCTGAGGCAAGCAGATCACGAGGTCAGGAGATTGAGACCATCCTGGCTAACACAATGAAACGCTGCCTCTACTAAAAATACAAAAAATTAGCCCTGCGCGGTGGCCAGCGCCTGTAGTCTCAGTTATTCCGGAGGCTGAGGCAGGAGAATGGCGTGAACCCGGTAGGCGGAGCTTGCAGTAAGCCAAGATCGTGCCACTGCACTCCAGCCTGGCCGACTGAGCGAGACTCCGTCTCAAAAAAAAAAAAAAAAAAAAAAAAAAAAAGCCTTCAAAGGCTGAGCTTGGTAGCTCAAGCCTGTAATCCTAGCACTTTGGAAAGCTAAGGCGAGAGCATTGCTTGAGGCCAACAGTTCAAGACCAACGTGGTGAGACCCTGTATCTACAAAAAAAATTGTTTAAATTAGCCAGGTGTAGTGGTGCGTGCCTGTGGTCCCAGCTACTCAGGAGGCTGAGGCAGGAGGATTACTTGAGCTTAGGAGGTCAATGCTGCAGTGAGGTGAGATTGTGCTATCGCACTCCAGTGTGGGCAACAGAGTGACTCTGTCTCAAAAATAAATAAATAAATAAACAAATAAAATAAAATAAAATAAAATAAAATGCCTTTAGAACTGTGGTCTAAGCCAGCCACACAAAATAGGAAAAGAATATAAAAATCATTCAGAGACAAACCAAAGTCTATTAAATGGAGACGGATCCAGAGTTTGGGGATTTCACCCATTTGTTCCAATCACGCAGCTTAAAAGGGACCCACCAGATCATCAGTGACAGGGATAAAATCAGCTCTTCAGGTTCAAAGTCTCAGATTCTTTTTTTCATTAATTCAACAAATATATATTGAACACCTACTATATACACACCTGAAGCCTATGTGAGGCTCTAGGGATACAATGGCAACAAGGAGGTTTCCTGCTCTCAAGATGCCCATTTGATTCCATTCCACTAAAGGAGAAAGACACAAGACAGATATATTTGAATACAAACAAACCTGCAGTAAGCACACAAGTGAAACAAATAGTTGCATGTTGTTCTAAAGGCTTCAAAGGAAGCCATCAACAGGCTGAGATTCTGAATAAGTTGGTGGAAGGAAGTGGGGCCTATGTCAGGTGGGATGGGCAGAAAAGGCCCCTGAAGCTGAGCGAGACCCAAAGGAAGAACAGGTGCTGGCTGTGTGGGGAGAAGCCTCTGGGTCTAGGGCCACCATCCCAGCGTGAGCTCAGCAGATTTGAGGAACAAACAATAAACATTCTAGTGGACATTGTAAGGAGCCCAGGAATGGGGGTAGAAATATTTTTACAGGGCCATTCAGGAAAGACTCAGTAGACAGCTAGATTTTTAAGGAGTCAGATTGGTAGACTAGATTGTGTGTGTGTGTGTGTGTGTGTGTGTGTGTGTGTGTGTGTGTGTGTGTGTGTCTGTGAATTAATGCTGGGAAAATCTCCAGGCCATTGGCATGGCCCTAACCTGGCTAGTGTGACTCCTTTCTCTGCAAACAGGCTCAGCAAGCTTTGGGCAGAGAATAGGTAGATTTAGTGGTTGACGACAGACTCCCTGAGAAAAACGGGAGAGGACAGATGTGTGTGTGTGACTCCTGACAATGATTAGACTGCTTTAGGGTCATTGCTGTCTTCGGAAAAGACTGAGTAGGCCAATGCCATGTAGGGCGTTGACTGGAGCAAGTTCAGTAGGCATTGCCTTTATAGGTATCAGCCATTCAGCAAACATTTGTCTAGACAGTATGGCACTGTGGCGTTAAATGCGGCCTCTGGAGTTGGTATCACCACTCACTGTGTGACCTTGAACTAGCTATTCACTGTTTCTGGGCTTTAGATTTCTCATGGGGTTGTTGTCAGGGTTAAAAAGTTCACAAGTCATAGCACAGTCTATAAGAATTTAACAGGTACTCAACAAATATTCATTCTCCTACCCTCTCTCCTGCCCCTCCCTTCGAATTAGAGGAGTGAAAAAAGGAACCAGGGTGAAAAGAAATTGAGGAAGTAGAATGTGCCGACTTGCCACACCTGCTGTGCACAGTAAGGAAGAGGGAAGAAGACGGTTCCCGCACTTCTGGCCTGACACACCAGCCAACAGTTGTATCAATCAGGACTCTTTCTAATGCAAGTCACAGAGTATTAAGCAATAAGGAAGTTTCTTGGCTTATGTAGCTGAAAAATCCTAAGTGCAGCCAATTTTGATATGCTTGGTCACAACGAAAGCTTTAACAACAACAACAACATAATTTATAGGTCATATTCTCAAATCAAAAACTGAAAAATTTCACATACATGATAAAAATGACCTAAAAAACTTTATGTATTTAGAAATTAAAGAGCAAACTCTTAGATAAGTCTTGGATCAAAAAGGAAGTAAAAGAGGACTCGCAAAGTATCTAGAAACCAATGAAAAGGAAATTACTTTCTATTGCACCAGACAGGACCCTGAGAATGGTACTCAGAGAATATTTGGAGTTCTCAAATGCCTTGCAACTGAAAAATAAAGCCAAAAAATAAAGGAACTAACTATTCCTCTCAAAAATTTAGAAAGAGGCTGGGCGCAGTGGCTCATGCCTGTAATCCCAGCACTTTGGGAGTCCGAGTCGGACAGATCATAAGGTCAGGAGATCGAGACCATCCTGGCTAACACGGTGAAACCCCGTATCTACTAAAAAAAATACAAAAAAAAAAAAAATTAGCTGGGCATGGTGGCGGGTGCCTGTAGTCCCAGCTACTCAGGAGGCTAAGGCAGGAGAATGGCGTGAACCCAGTAGGTGGAGCTTGTAGTGAGCCAAGATCGTGCCACTGCACTCCAACCTGGGTGACAGAGTGAGACTCTGTCTCAAAAAAAAAAAAAAAAAAAATTTAGAAACAGAAATCAGGAAATTGACATTGACAAAAGTCAAATTTAGAATTAATGATTTAGAAAAAAGAAAGAATAAAGAACAGTAGGAGGGAAAATATGTGAAATCTACTGAAAATAACTCCAAATGTTTATTGGATAGACTAATAAAATAAACAGCTTACAAGTTTGAAGAGGGAAAAAAGAAAAAAAGAGATTAGGAAGCTGAAGTCGATTAAAAGATTCAAGAGAGTCACCACAGCCAATGCTATGACAGTGAATATGAAAAGCTATAGGAAACGTATGATTTTTTTTTGCAAAATACAGACTATTTAAATTCATCCAAGAAGAGAGGAAAAATGTGAATGGACAAATTATTACATGAATGGACCAATTATTACAGAAGTAATGGTAAAGTGCTTGGACGTTTACTATTGAAAAGACCTTAGGGCCAGATGGCCTTAGAGTTGAGTTTGTTTTTCCTTTTTTAACTGATATATAATAGTTGTACATTTTTTGGTTTTAAAATTGATATATAATAGTTGTACATATGTAGCTGAGTTTCAGCTAAGCTCTAAAGTTCTGATAATTTACCTCTAAAGGTCTGATAATTCCAATGTTAAGTGATTTTTTTTTAAGAGACAGGGTCTGGCTATGTTGCCTAGGCTGGAGTGCGGTGGCTATTCACAGGCATGATCACTGCACGCTACAGTCTCAAACTCTGACCTCAACTGTTCTTCCTGTCTCAGCCTTCCAAGTAGCTGGGACTAAAGGCATGAGCCACTGCACCCGGCCCAATGTTAAATTATTTAAACCCTTGCTACTCAAAGTGTGTCCGAGGACTGTAGTATTAATACCACCTAGATGCTGATTAGGAATGCAGGTTTAGCTACTCCAAGCCATATAAAAATCTTTTAAATTCACATTTTGAAGCCAATACAATTTTAATATCAAAACATAAGAAAGAAAAAAGGATAGAGTAATATTTGTTAATTACAATTATAATTATAGACTAATTTCACTTATGATTTAGAAATACAAATTATAAATAA
Source organism: Homo sapiens (assembly GCF_000001405.40). NCBI lineage: Eukaryota > Metazoa > Chordata > Mammalia > Primates > Hominidae > Homo > Homo sapiens. Next base: position 83,199,899 of record NC_000004.12, read on the forward strand.
AATATTAGCTTATATAGGTCTTCATTATATCAAGAGTAAAATACAATGAACAGCAAGGTTTATTCCACAACTGCAAGAGTGGTTCAATATCCAAATCCCAGTAACCTAATCCATTACACTGATAAACTACAGAAGAAAAACATCAGCAGCTGTTCAAATGATAATTGATAAAATTCAGCAGCCATTCCTAATAAAAATTCTAAGTAGGCATGAAAAAATTTAAACTGACAAAAACTACCAGAAACCAATAGCAAATATTATCTTATATAGAGACACTACTGAAAGCATTTTAGTCAAGAAACAGATAGATACCTGCACCATCATTATTATTTAATATTATTTTAGATATTTTAGCAAATGCAAGAAGAAAAAAAGTTAACTAGTAAGTATAAATATCAGAAAAGAAAAAATAAAAACATGTCTTTTGATATGGTTGCATATTTAGAAAACTCAAGATAATTAAGAAGGCAAAACAGGCTGGGCGTGATGGCTCATGCCTGTAATCCCAGAACTTTGGGAGGCCAAGGCAGGAGGATCTCTTGAGGCCAGAAGTTTGAGACAAACCTGGTCAATATAGTGAAACTCGTCTCTACCAAAAATATAAAAAATTAGCTGAGCGTGATGGCACACACCTGTAGTCCCAGCTACTCAGGAGGCTGAAGCATGAGAATCACTTGAACCCGGGAGGCAGAGGTTGCAGTGAGCCGAGATTGCGCCACTGTACTCCAGCCTAGGTGACAAAAAAAAAAAAAAGAAAAAGAAAAAAGCTATTGTTTTTTGTGTATCTATGTAGCATCCTATATCTTATCACACTCTCTTAATATGTCTTGTAATTGTTTTGCCTTCTTTTTTATTTTTTTGAGACAGAGTCTCGCTCTGTCCCCAGGCTGGAGTACAGTGGCATGGGTACCAGTGGCTACTCGAGTAGCTGGGATTACACGTGCGTGCCACCATGCCCAGCTAATTTTTGTATTTTTAGTAGAGACAGGGTTTCACCATGTTGGCCAGGCTGGTCTCTAACTCCTGATTGCAAGTGACCCTCCCGCCTTGGCCCCCCAAAGTGCTAGGATTATAGGTGTGAGCCACTGCTCCCAGCCCACAATAGCTTTTTTTCTACCTTAATAGGAACCAACTAAAAATAAGAATGGGAACATATTTATGCATATATAATGTTGACATAAACTATACATTCTTTAGGAATAGTTCTAACAAGTAAGTAACAGAAAATATAGGGGAAAAACTCTTAGTTAAGAAAACTATGAGAAAGAAAAACAATAAGGGAGATTTGCCCTACCAGATAATCGGAAACTAAAGCCACAATAATCAAACCTCTACAAGTATGGATATAGAGTTAGATTCTGAGGAGATGTTCACGTAGACAAATGTGGTAATTTAATTCAGGAGGAAAGAAATGGGCCATTTAATTAACAACTGACTACTTTCTGGAAGAAAATTTAAAAAGACTCTGTCTTATACTACATATGAAAATACACTGCAGATGAATAAAAGGCTTAGATATAAATTTTAAAACTCTAGGCAAGAAATCTAGGTAACTACATGATCAATAGAAACCTACAAGCGATAAAGTAAAGGTAGCCATGTTTGATTATATAAAAAATTTTTTAAATTTAAGACAAAACCAATCATAAACAAAGTCAATAACAGTAGATTTGAAAATAATAATAAAGCATATGATAGAAAAGGGGTTGATTTTTAAAAAACAGATGAAGAGCTCTTACAAATTGACAAGAAAAATGACCAAAAACCCAACAGAAAATGTGCAACCAATATGAATTGCAAGGGGATAGAGAAAAATAAATCCAAAGACCCACAAACATATGAAAAGACACTTAAATTCACTAGAGTTAGGGAAATACAGGCTACAGTAACAGTAAGATATTACAGGTTAAGCATTTCTAATCTGAAAATCTGAAATGCTCCAAAATCAGAAACTTTGAGTGTGGACATGACACTCTAAATGGGAAATTCCACACTGACCTCATGTGACAGATCTCAGTCAAAACGCAGATGTCAACTGCACGGTTTATTTAGCATCTGCAAGGTAATCAAGACCCTCCCGGCCCCCATCAGCTATGATGTATCTTTTCTGTGCATGGCCAGATTCCCTCACGCAAGCAAACCCACAAAAGGTCTTAGAATGGTAGGTATGAAGACCAGATATGCCAATGGCAGGTTTGTCATGATACCCCACATGGGGCCAATACCTATATGCATTACTCACTGTAGTTTTTTCTGCTTATTCTCTCTCTTGTGGCATAAAGATATTGTTGAAAATGTCTAGAAGGCCCACATGATGCCCAGAGGGTAATGCAAATATTCCAAAACAAAATCTGAAACACTTTTGGCTCCAAGCATTTTGGGTAAGGGACCTCAACCTGTACTTGGTATCCATCTGATTGGCAAAAGTTAAAAGGAATCATACTGTTACCTGCTAGTGGGATATGAGAAAAATGTCATCATACCTATTGGTGGAAACATAAAGTGTTATGGCTTGTTTTGGAAGGCAATGTGGATTAATAAATGAGTTAATATTTGAGAAATGCTGAAAACACTGTCTGTCATATAATAAATGCTATGTACATTCTTGTTAAGTAAACAAAAGTTCTCTGAAAAATAAAATGCATACACCTGTCGACTCAACAACTCCACTCTCAGAAATCTATCTCACTGGCACAAACATACATGCAAACATATTTGTTATAGCATTGTCCATAGCGGCAAAGAGCTAGAAACAGTGAATGTCCATCAAAGGAAATGAATGAACAAACTGTGATACATCCACATTGTATGGAATATAATGTGACCTTTAGGAAGAATGATTTAGGTTTTTTGTTTTGTTTTGTTTTTGAGACAAGGTCTGTCTCTTGCAGCCCCTCTCTAGTTGTATTCAACATATCATCAAGCTTTTAAATTTTTTGGCTGAATGCAGGTACTGGGTATACAAAAGGAAGGCCCAATTAACATCTCCAAAAGTTTCATACTTAGGACTGATCATAACTCCAAATACCCAAGAAATGCTGCCGGCATGAAAGCAAGGTGTTCAACAAATCCCATTTCCTAAAACAAAAAGGGACTTACTTTCCTTCCTTGGATTAGTGGGTTTATTTAGCATCTGCAAGGTAATCAAGACCCTTCCGGCCCCCATCAGCTATGGTGTGTCTTTTCTGGGCATGGCCAGATTCCCTCACGCAAGCAAACCCACAAAACATCTTAGAATGGTAGGTATGAAGACCAGATATGCCAATGGCAGGTTTGTCATGATACCCCACATGGGGCCAATACCTATATGCATTACTCACTGTGGTTTTTTCCACAGTGTCTGTCATATAATAAATGCTATGTACATTTATTATATGTAAAAAGGAAATCTTGACCAACCACTCACTCCCACCCCAGACCTTTATCATGCTTTCTCTTGCCTAAAACATGCCTTATTACAGGCCCCTGCTGTAGGCCTTCCAAATCCCCTAAGACCTTTTCATCTATATTTACACAGTTCACATTATCAGGCCCTTGGACTATCAGCCCAATCCATGGGAGACTCCCAAGCCAAGTGGCATATTTTTCAAAACAACTAGACCCCATTTATAAAAACTGGCCCCTTTGCTTGAAAATTTTGTCCACAGCCTCTTTAATTATCTCTGAGGCACAAAAACTCACATTCTACGAACCCTTTCAGATATTTTCTTCTCACAATCTACAAGATACACTCAGCCATAAGGCACTCACCTCCATCTCATCCTCTCACACGCAAGTCCTACATTCAACCCTCCTTCAACCCTCTATCTCTCTTCATAGATGCTCTCCTCATAATCCCGCCCCTCTTTTACCTTCAACACCAATTTTGGACCCTGAGTAACACTCATGCTCTGATTTAATTGAAAGTTCCCTCACCATGTTTCACCACCTTACTTCCACTCACAAGAAAGGAGCCCCAGAGTGGTTTTTGAATGGCAGTGCATCAAAAATCTATCCCCTCCAACAGGGATACGCCATCATTGAAGGATATCATGATGGTACCCACTTTCTCCCACCTAGAAGAGTCACAGAGGCTGCCCCCTTGCCTTTGGACACATCCCCCAACAAGCAGAATTAGTGCTAATAAGAGCACTAACCCTAGCAAAAAACACACAAGTTAAAATATACACTGATTCTAAATATGCCTACAATATCATCCACTCCAATGTCCAAATTTGGAGTGAGCAGGGCTATCTCACAGGTAAGGGAACCCCTATCATTAATGGAAAACTCATTCATCATCTATTAAAGGCAACTCTACTTCTAGAAAACGTTGCGGTTATCCTTTGCAAAGGACATGAATCAGACAAAAGCCACATTTCTTTAGGGAACCATGAGGCTGACTACTGGGCAAAACACACCTCAACCAATGACCCAATTCCCCAGTACCTATTTCCCCTCATACAACATATCCCCTCCTTTTGTCCAGAACACCAAACACAACAACTAATCATGGCGGGGGCACAATTCAAACCCCATATTGGTTCATACAAAACAAATTAGTCCTACCTGACCCTGAAAAAACAACTCTTCTATGGAACATTCACAACCTCTTCCACACTAGCCATTCCCTCTCTACAACATTTCTTAAGTTCCCATATACACATAACCCCAGATATAAAGGAACAGTTAAAAGCCATTTCCCATCAATGCTCTATTTGCCAAAAAGATTCACCTCACTCCAACACTAGATCACCTTCTTTCCCAACACATCAAACCAGGGGAAATCTTCCAGGACAGGATTGGCAAATTGATTTTACCCATATGCCCCCAGTAAAAAGGGTTCAATTTCTTTTAGTTCTGGTTGATACCTTTTCAGGATGGGTTGAGGCTTTTCCCCCAACCCACAAATGAGCTTCTACTGTCACCTCCAAATTAATAACAGGAATCATCCCCAGGCTCAGGGTGCCTCTTTCTTTTCAATCTGATAATGGTCCTGAATTCATTTCTCAGATTACTCAAACACTTGCACAAGCCCTAAAAATCACCCGGAAGCTACACATCCCCTATCGACCTCAATCTTCAGGAAAGGTTGAAAAAATGGATGGCATTCTAAAAAGCACCCTCACCAGGTACTCACTCCAAACACATAAAGACTGGGTTACACTTTTGCCTTTAGCCCTTCTAAAAATTTGGGCACTACCACATAAACCTTTAATGCTCAGCCCTTTTAAACTCGTATATGGGAGACAACTAACCCCTTTTGCTCCACCTCAGGGTCAAGCCCCACCTCTACCAATCCCTCTCGTTTCCCCTCTTCTACATACTATCGCCATTTCATTTTGGAATATGCTGACAAATACCTGCCACAACCTGTCGCTGACTCCTCTAATCCCTTCCTACAGCCAGGAGACTGGGTTCTGGTAAAAGATCCCAGTCCTACCCCCAACTGCCCCCTCACACCTAAATGGAAGGGACCTTACCAGATCATCCTTACTACACCCATGGCAGCAAAACTCCAGAGACTCCCCAGTGGTTTCATTATACTTCTCTCAAGAAAACAGACTTGCCTTCATCCACATACCCAAACAACCAAATCTAAAACCCCTTCAGCCTTCTCTTGTGTCTCCACAGGACCCACTTCTCTTTGCCTCACCCAAATCCCAGAGGAAAAGGAGGAGAAATCCACATAAGCCGCTTATGTCTCTTTCCCAAACTTTCATCTCTTCCTAATCAACCTTGTTACAGACCTTCATTGGTACCCTTACAAAGCTCCCATTATACATCCTGATCAGCTCCTTACTGTTCTATGGGACCTATGGCTTCAAAGAACTTTCCAGGACTTTACTCCTACCCAAATAACTTTTCTCTCTTTTTGCTTCTTTCTTTCAATATAAATTCCCTAATCACATCAACCTCACCAATACAACCACTCCTCACTGCTCTCAAACTAGAATGCTCTATAAACCTTACACAATTCCTCCTGCAGCAACCTAACTCTTCCTTTGCTCCAGAGTGCTGGATGTGCTTATCGCTGTCTTCCTCAGCTTACACAGCCCTTCCTACACCCCTTCATGACCTTTTAACAGGAAACATAACTCTAATTTATAAACTCCAAAAAGGAGCTTCCTTTTTCGATAGAGCTGTCTCCCTGGTCAGTGATTATCTCACTTCCAAGGCCAATCAGGCCAACAAATTATTTCAAACCTATTATAACTCCCTACAATGCCTTAAGCCCAAGGCCCCCATTGAAGGGCCCAAAACTAAACATACCCTCTTTTTTTTTTTTTTTTTGAGACGGAGTCTCACTCTGTCACTCAGGCTGGAGTGTAGTGGCACGATCTTGGCTCACTGCAACCTCCACCTGCTGGGTTCAAGCAATTCTCCTGCCTCAGCCTCTCAAGTAGCTGGGACTACAGGTGCGTGCCACCATGCCCGGCTAATTTTTTGTATTTTTAGTAGAGAGAGATGAGGTTTCACCATGCTGGCCAGGCTGGTCTTGAACTACTGACCTCGTGATCCACTTGCCTCGTCCTCCCAAAGTGCTGGGATTACAGGCATGAGCCACCACCCCTGGCCCCACCGCTCTTTTACAAGAAGGCTCACTTTGTTTTTCAGCCTCTGAGTGAAATTTCCCTGTAGGTTCCTTAACTTCTAATCAATGCAACTGCACTTTCCTTGTTAAACACCCCTCTGACCATTCAGACTAACAGGGTTGACTACCAAGTATCATCTGAAGCAAACGGAGCATTTCTGCAACCGGCTCGTTTTACAGCCTCTCCCTCAACCAATGCCTCTGGCCTAACTTGTGCTGTCCCTGATGCTCACCTTTTTCTGTGGCTCAATATCAATGGTGCAACATCCGATCACACTAAATGTGTAAGAAATAACTCTTCCTATATCCCTACTACAGCGGGTGTCTCCCTGACCTCCTCCTTGTCCACCTGGAGTAATGAACCACGGGAAAGAAACACCCTATCTTTAATTCACTTATTTTCTTTCCACATTTCCTCTTGTATTTACGACAAAGGCTTGTTCTTTTTGTGTGGCACCCACACATATCTTTGTCTCCCCACCAACTGGATTGGAACCTGTACCCTAGCTTATCTTTCTCCCTCCATTGGACTAGTTACTCCTAATCAATCTTTACCCATTCCATCTGTCCAATATGTTAGAAAAAGGAGGGCCATCCAAGTCATTTCTTCGATGGCTGCCTTAGGTATAACCTCTGGGCTTGGATTGGGAGCAGGCAGATTGGTCACCTTCTTAACATACTTTAAAGCTCTTTTGACAGAACTACAGGGTTCATTAGAAGATATAGCCTGAAGCCTTATAAGAGTCCAAGACCAACTACACTCCTTGGCTGGAGTAGTCCTCCAAAATAGATGGGGATTAGATCTTATAACGGCTGAAAAAGGGGCCTCTGTCTCTCATTGAGTGAGGAACATTGCTTCTATCTCAACCAATCAGGCCTAGTAAGAGACGCTGCTGAAAAACTTAAGGAAAGGGCTAAAAAGCTAAGGGAATACCAAAACAACCAAATAGATTTTTGGTTTAGGAACAAAATCCTAACATGGGTCATCCCATTCCTGGGGCCTCTCCTAATGATCGTCTAGGACTAATGTTCTTACTGTGCTTAATTAAACCTTTTCAAAGATTTTTAACTGACAGGATCATGGCCAACTCACAGACAATTACCCAAAAACATCTACAGACAGTCTTACTCCTATAATCAATCCAAGACCAAAGAACTCTCCGCCTGCCGCCCCTCAGCAGGAAGTAGCCAAAAAGAAAATGCCGCCCCTAGTTCTTTTTATAACTATAGGGACTGGATTGACAGAGCAGTAGCATTGCTATCTTGGACAAATGCCACCATTTTAAGTTCCCCTTGATTTAAAAAAAACCACCTAAATCCAGCCCCAAAACATCAGCCTAATGGCTAATGTCACCATAACCAAAAACATTCCAACCCTAAGATAAACCGCCCTCTGACCACAAACATGCCAACCCAAGATAGCCTCCCCACCCTGCAATAAACATTCTAACCTGAGACATTCCAGAGACATTCCAACCCTGCAATAAACTTTCCCTCACAAAGAAACATTCCAAGCCTGCGCCTGCGATAAGCTACCCTCTTCCTAAACCCTTAAATACCCTTAGTCTTTAAAAGAGAATGCTCCTGACTGAAATTGGCTAGAAGCCTCTCTCAGGTTTATTCTCCAAAGTAAACCTGTCTTTGACTGTTGAGCCACTTTTCTTGTTTCTTTCCTCTTTCTTTAACTCTTACATATAGTATGATTCCTTTTATGTAAAATTATAGATAGATATATGAATATATAGTGAGATGCATCAAGGAAATGCCATCAAAATGTTAATAAGGTTTATCTCAGGTGATGAGAGTCCAGGTGATCGGAAGTTTTGGGGTGTGGTTGGGGAATCCTATTTTAGGATTGTAGGCAGCTGTTTTCAGTCCACATTTACTCAGGAGAACTGATGGGGTGGGCCTACAAGAATCTATTCTCATGAGGACTCAAAAAGCCCCCTAGGGTATAACTCCTTCCAAGAGAAAAAGAATTAGGGGTCCTGCGTTGGGGTCAAGAACAGTGGCTCAGTATGAGAGGGGAGGGAAAATTATGAGTACATGGTATCTATCTTGCAAATGAATAACCAGTCAGCCTTAATCCATGTTTGCATTCTAGGGAGGGGACCTCCAAGACACGGCCAAGTGAAGCCAGAAGTGCAGTTACAAATTTGCTCATTCTGTCTTTCATTCAGCAAGTATTTACTAAGAGCCTACTAAGTGTCCAGCACTGTTCTAAAAGCTGAGGATACAGTGGTGAACCAAAACAGACAAAACTCTCTGCCTTTGTGGAGCTTATGTTCTAGTCCTTTCTTTCCCCTTGAAGCACAGAAAGCATGTCTTCTTACTATTCCAGTCTTCTTCTTATTCTTATACATCTAGTGCTCCAGAGCAAAGGAAGAATTAGCTTGCAGCAAGAATTTCAGCAGGAATTCCAGAAGAATTTGTGACACATGTCAGGCACATAGTAAGTATTTATGTAATGACACAGCATTTTCAGCTTTGGATTATGATCTCTGGGTGTTTGTGGATGTGTCTGATCTTCCCTTTTGGCTGTATACTCCTTGAGGGGAAGATGGTATCATAGACCGAGTAGGAGCTGCCTATGGTATCGTAGACAGAGTAGGAGCAGATGGTTGCTGCCCAACAGTTGTGAATGACACACTGATCCAGGGAGTAGAAATAGAAATGGAGATGAAATTGGACAGATGGACACATCTTTGTGAAGGGATCCTCAGAGGATTTGGTGACTCACCCAGGAGCCATGGTGAAATGAGAAGGAGAAGAGAATGGATTCCAGGCTTTGGCCCCAACTGGCTGGCAGAACAATACCATTAGAACAAATGTAGGAAATTTCAAAAGCAAAACTGGCTTTTGTAGAGGACTAATAGTTTTAGATATTTTGTTTAGGTGACATTATTGGAATATCCAGGTGGAAATATTTAGCAGCTAATACGAAATGTACATCTGAACAGAGAGGGGGAATCTAAGAGTTTTCTGTTGAGGTGAGAGTTGAGGTCGTGATGGTGAGTGAATGAGTCACCAAGAAAGAGAGGTGATACTCCCAGGACTTATGGTCAGTCCAGTGGTGTTACTTACTGACCACGTGGCTCTGGGTATGCCATTTAAGGGCTCTAACCTTGTGTCTTCAATTCTGTGAAGGGCTAATAATGCCCGTCTTTCCTCATTCAGAATATTAGCATGACAAGATATGGGTGGAAGTGATTTGCAAATCAGTAAGCACAATGCAAATTAAGGCTTTTGGTAAAGGATGGAGCCTGCCTAGGGAGTGAACACTGGGGTTATGACCTTGCTTTTTCACCTCATCAATACACACCCACTCGTGCTTCAGATCTCAGTCCCAGTCTTCCTTGACCACTCATGGCCCAGTGTCCCCAGCATGGGCAGTCATTGCAAGTTGACTCTTGTTACTGTGATGATTTGATCCACACCTATCTCTTATTTCTCAGTTGCACCCCCGGGAGCAGGCTTCACATCTATTTTGCTCCCTGCTGAGAGTGCCTCACTCCATCAATATTCACTGAATGAATAGAAGAGAAAGAAGCAAGGGAGCAAAGGCAGCAAGAAGTATGGAGTCAGAGGAGAAAGAAAAACAGAAAACCACAGCTAGAGACAAAGCTGTAGAGAGCTTTTCAAAAAGGAGGCATGATCAGCAATATTGAATGCTTTAAGAAACAAAAGCAAATGAGGAATTTGAAAAGCTCTGGATTAACTGTATTTAGAACGTTGCTGCCTAAAACAATGGCTGAAATATGACAAGAGACAAAGCTGTTGGATGAGGCTAGTCTGATTTCTAAAGAAGGTATATGTAACTATTGAAAACCCATTCTACTACCATTAGGCATTGAACCCTAGGTAACCTTGCCTTGTGAAGCAAGAAGACAAAAGGCTTATTACTTTGGCAGAGTAACTTGAATGGAGCTGGAGAACTCTGTGAGCCGAAACCAGGTGTGTATTCACCCCGACAGGTCTGTAGTCATTGCTAGAGAAGCTTTATCATTGCTAGGCCTTTGTTCAAAACCCAAGCATTGCAATAAATTTCAGTTCAATTACTTTGATTTGTCTCTGGTGAAAAAGCAGAGTTAATTGGGGTTCATGTACTTCGTACAAATATTTAATAACTTCCATACACTATTTCATAGCGTAGACAGTCATTTTCTAAGGTCAGTTTTCATCTTTGCGATGTGAAATATTTGGAAGATATTTTATTCCTATTTGGTCCTGCAGACCTGTTCTTATGTTTGCAAGAATTCTGGAGGGAAGGACACCCCAAGCTTTCCATACACAGCCATAAAATAAAATACAGCATCTTTATTTCATGGTGGCTTCCTCAGTGTATTGTAAAGACTCTGATAGCTACATTTTTAAAATTATGGTAGAAAACACAAAAAATTTACCTTAATGATTTTTAGTGCATAGCTCAGTAATGTTAAGTATATTTACACTGTTGTGCCACCAATCTCCAGAAACTTTTCATCTTGCAAAACTGAAATGCTCTACCCACAAAACCACAATTCCCCCTTTCCTCCTCCCCCAGGCCGACAACCATCCTGATGGTTACATTTATTTATTTATTTATTTATTTAGAGATGGAGTTTTGCTCTTGTTGCCCAGGCTGGAATGCAGTGGCATGATCTTGGCTCACCGCAACCTCCGCCTCCCAGGTTCAAGTGATTCTCCTGCCTCAGCCTCCCGAGTAGCTGGGATTACAGGCATGCACCACCACGCCCGGATAATTTTGTATTTTCAATAGAGACGGGGTTTCTCCATGTTGGTCAGGGTGGTCTTGAACGCCAAACCTCAGGTGACCCGCTGGCCTCGGCCTCCCAAAGTGCTGGGATTACAGGTGTGAGCCACCGTGCCCAGTCCTACTTTTCTTTTTTTTGGACTGGTCCCTAAAAGCTCTGCCTGGGTGGGTGACCTTAACACATCCCTGGGAAGTGAGGATGTGACCAGAGTCACTAGGTACCCATAGAAATTAGGGCAATGTTTTGGCTAATTCACAGAATCAGTAGCTTCATACAACCTTAAACAAAGAGAAAGCAGTATTCAGTGCTGGATTCATAAACATCATAAGACTGAATCCAGGTAAAGCAATTTCATTCCCAGGTATTAGTCAAATGCCTTGTGCTTGAAGGAGTGGGCAGATTAACAGCTGGAGGAAATGTAGAGCTGATATAGGTCAGGTGGTCATCCATTTAGTTAATATGTATTGACTGTGCCTAGGCTGGATTCAGCACTCGAAAATAAAGTAGCACAAGGCACTTGCAGTCTAGAAACTATAAAGCAGACAATAAATACGCGTTTATTTGCAGCCACTTCCACAATTTCCTACGCGCTTACGGGTATCCTTTTTTCCCTCAAACTTATTTTAAATGGCAAAGATATAGATGACCATATCCTCAATTTTAAAATCTCATCTTATTTTCCACTAAGCAGTTATTTTATAACATTAGTGCTTAACGTGTTTACCATTTAAATGAATCTGTCTTATGACCACTGGATGTCTACCGAGCACTTAGAAGTCAGTCTCATTTACTCCTTAGAAATGCCTCGGAGGAGAATATCATTATCATTTTTATTTTGCAGATGAAGACATAGAAGCTCAGAGAGGCTGAAGGACTTCCAGAGTCACAAAGCTAGAAGGGGGCAGAGTTCGGATTAAATGTGGGTGTTCTGGTTACATTTGGAGGTCCTCTTTACGTCCCCATACATTTGGCACAGCTGGAAAGTTGTCAGCCACTCATCAATGCGCATGTGTATTGCACACTTACCGAGCAAGGCATTTGAATGCTGCAGCAAGTGTGAAAATACAGTCAGTCCCTTACTGAGCTGACACTATAGTGAGGGAAGGCAGATAATCACAAACGAACACACAACTACAGACATGCTAAGTATTGCAAAGGGGTGCTTTGGAAGAATGAAACTCAACAACCCCACCTAGGCTGAGGTGTGGGTGTGGGTGGGGGTGGTGGAGGGCGTGACAGACAAGAATTTTCCTTCTGAATACAAAGCTTCAGGACTGTGTTCTTAATCACTGTTGACTGCAGCCAAACATTCAAGTTGGTTTTGTTCTGTAGGAGGGTTTGGTTACTGCACAGGTGGAGTTAGTTGAATTGTGGGCACCCACACCAGCTGAAACCTGTTTTGATATGCGCACAGTGTGAAACACACCCTCTGTGAGGTTTCTGCTTAAATATACACGATTTGGTGCCAAAATTAGAATCAACACCTGGGCAAGGAAGTAACACCTGACCTATCACTTACTATGTTAGTGCTACTTTCAGCAAAGGAAAGGACAAATATGGTCCTGTTTGGGAGGGGAAAAAAAGTGCCGTTTGACTTGATGCAAATCTTGAGAAAATGATGTCTACTCTGCTCTCTTCCCCTAAATTGACACAATCATGGGAAAAATGGACAGGAAAGCATTAACAAGACACAATTGTAAAAGTTAACAGTAACACAGGCAAGAATCCACTTCTCTATTAAAACCAGGGAGCAGGTTTCTTCAGATAGTTTCATGGTGTACCTGGTTGTTAATTAGTATTAATTTCACTGAACTATATGAACATTAGCTATCCTCACTAGATGTTCTCAGGCCCAGAATGAACAACATGCTCAGTGGACCACTGGACCAGACACTTAGTTTTTAAGACATGGCAAAGACTTTCTCTCTGCTGCTCTTTCTGCAGATTCCAGTCTGGGACACCGGGAACCATGGTTTCCAGACTTTTGAGAACTGTCTCAATTTCAGATATTCCGTTTCTGGTCAAACCACAGCTTCTTGGAGACAAGGGACTGCCATGTCTCATATGTCACTGTGTATCTGTCTCCAACAGAGTGTTTGCATATTGTACATAATGGATTAATTGCATGTCTGCCAATACAGAAATAATCACCACAGTTATGAGAGACATTTAATAAAACCAGAGATGTTGGAGTGTCAGTGCAGACTTGCCATTAAGTAATTAACTGATATAATGAATAAACAGTTATTGAGCACCTACTCTGTGTCAGGCACTGTTGTAGATACTGGGGTTACAGAAGCAAATGAAACAGGCAAAAATTCTGCCCTGGTAGAGCTTAAGTGAGGGAAACAGATAAATAGGAAAACTAAATCGATTATGTGGCATATTAGATGGTAATAGAAAATATGGAGAAAAATACAATAGGGAAGTATTGCAGTGGGGTTGTTTGCAATTTTTGATAGGGTAGTCAGGGAAAGTGACATGTGAGCAGAAATGTGGAGGAATTATGCAGCGAGCCAGGCAGAGACCTGGGGAAGAGCCCTCCAGGCAAAGGTACTGCATGTGCAAAGGTCCTGAGGTGGGAGCATGCCTGGCACTTTCAAGGAAGAGCAAAGAGGTCAGGATGGCTTGAGTAGAGAAAACATGAGTGAGAGAAACAGGAGATAACCGGGGTCAGAACACGTAGGGCAAGCTTGTCCAACCCGCAGGTACCCACAGGCCTCATGCAGTCCAGGATGGCTTTAAATGCAGCCAACACAAATACGTAAACTTTCTTAAACCATCATGAGATTTTTTTTTCTTTTAGCTCATCAGCTATCATTAGAGTTAGTATATTTTATGTGTAGCCCAAGACAATTATTCTTCCAATGTGGCCCAGGGAAGCCAAAAGATTGGACACCCCTGATGTTGGGTTTCATAGGCCACTGTAAAGACTTCAGCTTTTATCTGAGTCAGAGTGGAAGGCACTGGAGAGTTTGATCAGAGGATAATAATGATGATAATATAGTCATGCATCATTTAACAACAGGGATACACTCTTGAAAATGCATTGGTAAGCAATTTTGTCCTTGTGTGAACATCATAGAGTGCACTTACACAAACCTAGATGGTATAGCCTACTACACACCTAGGCTATATGGTATAGCCTAGTTCTCCTAGGTACAAACCTGTACAGCATGTTACTATACTGAATACTCTAGGCAACTGTAACACAATGGTATTTGTGTATTTAAATGTAGGAAAAGTATAATAAAAATACAGTATAAAATATTAAAAATGGTACACCTATATAGGGCACTTACTGTAAAAGGCGCTTGCAGGACTGGACATTGCTTTGGGTGAGCGGATCTCAACTCATACCCCAGAATCCCTGCTTGTCTGTGCTCCCATAGTGTTTACACCCTGTAGCACTTTTTTCTATCTGTTATAATTACAGATTTGGCATTTATATCCTCTCTTAGCAGTGGTTTCCTTGAATGCAGGTGCCACATCTTGCTTTTCCTTGTAGTTCTCTGAGCTCCTAGCACAGGGAAAGGCACGTAGTAGGCATTCGTTGAATGAATGAGAGAAGGAGCTACAGTGGGAAGAACCTGGGTATTATGTCTGGAAAGACTCATTTTAGGGTCCAATCTCCACCACTTCTAATTGTCCACTTATTTGACGCTGGTTGTGCAAGTTGCTTAAACTTCACGAGCCTCACTTCTCTCATCTACAAAATGCAGATAGTAATACCTAGTGAGGCTTCAATGAGATAATGCATGTCAGCACTTGGTACACTGTTCACTCTCTTTCTCCTCCTCTTGAATGAGGGAAGACAGTGATTTCTGAGGAAGGGTTAGGTAGAGGAAGTGTTAAGCAGACCAGAGGGACACTTGACCACTCAGCACTAGAAAACTCTGAAGCCTGCCAGGTTTTTGGTGGGCCTCTCTCCACACCGTCTCTTCACCCATAGCTGGCTTTTTCTGAGAACAGGTACAGGAGCAGGTACAGACTCAGCTCAGAAATGGAAGGAAATTATCTTGACATAATAAAGGCTATAGCTAATAATCATACCCAGCGGTGAAAAACTGAAGGCTTTCTTTCAAGATCAGAAACAAGACAAGAATGTCCATTTTCTACATTTCTACTCAACATACTATGGGTAGTACTAGCCCAAACAATTAGGTAAGAAAAAGAAATAAAAGGCACTCAAATTAGAAAGGAAGAAAAAAATTATATATGTTTGCAAATAATATAATCTTATTTGTAGAAAATCTGAAATATTCCAGAAAAATAAAAAACTGTTAGAACTAATACATTTAGCAAAGTTGGAGGATACAAATTCAGCGCACAAAAATCAGTTGCATTTTTAAAGACTGACAATGAGTAATCTGAAAAAAGTTAATAAAACAATCCCATTTACAACAGCATCAAATAAATAAAATACTTATCCAAGAAAGTGAAAGGCATATAGTAAACTGTAAAACATTGCTAAATGAAATTAAATAAGACACAAACAGAAAGACATCTCATGTTCAGGGATTGGAAGCATTAAAATATCCATACTACACAAAGCAATATACAGATCCAATGCAATGCTTATCAAAGATTCCAATGTCATTGTTTATAGAAATAGAAAAAAAATACTAAAATCCATATAGAATCTCAAAAATAGCCAAAACATCTTGAGAAAGGAAAACAAGGCTGGAAGCCTCACACTTCCTGATTTTAAAGCATTACAGAGGTAGGGTAATTAAAACAGAATGTCACTGACATAAAGACAGACATATAGACCAATGGTACAGAATAAGGAGCCCAGAAATAAACTCTCATGTATATCATCAAATGATCTTTGACAAGAGTGTCAAGACAACACAATGGGGAAAGGATAGTTTCTCAACAAATGGAATTGGGAAAACCGGATATCCACCTGCAAAAGAATGAAATTGGACTCTTGACTGTACAAAAATTAACTGAAAATGTATTAAAGACCTAAATGTAAGACCTGAAGCTATAAAACTCTTAGGAGAAAATATAGGAGGAAATCTTCATGACATTGGATTTGGCAATGATGTCTAGTGTATGACACAAAAGCACAGGTGACAAAAGCAAAAATAGCAAGTGGGACTGCAAAAACTTCTGTGCAGGAAAGGAAACAATCAACAGAGTGGAAAGGCAACCTGCAGAATGGGAGCAAATATCTGTAAACCATAGATCTGATAAGGAGTTAATATCCAGAATATATAAAGAACTCCTACAACTCAACCACATAAAAATAAATAATTCGATTAAAAAATAGGCAGGCTGGGTACAGTGGCTCATGCCTGTAATCCCAGCACTTTGGGAGGTGGAGGCAGGCGGATCACCTGAGGTCAGGAGTTCGAGACCAGCCTGACCAACATGGAGAAACCCCGTCTCTACTAACAATACAAAATTAGCTGGGTGTGGTGGCGCATGCCTGTAATCCTAGCTACTCAGGAGGCTGAGGCGGGAGAATCGCTTGAACTCAGGAGGCAGAGGTTACAGTGAGCTGAGATTGTGCCATTGCACTCCAGCCTGGGCAACAAGAGTGAAACTCCGTCTCAAAAAAAAAAAAAAAAACCAAAAAAACAAATTAATTGCAGCTTTTGCCATTTTTTTTTAAATATGGAAACCACAATTACTTTTGCAGCAATCTAATAAAGTAGTCAAACTCCTAGAAACAGAAAGTGAATGGTGGTTAACAGGGGCTGGGGGAGAGGGGAATAGGAAGTTCTTTAATAGGTGTTTCTGTATGGGAAGATTAAAAAGTTCTGGAGATAGACCATGGTGATGATAGCACAACATGTGAATGTACTTACTGCCACTGAATGGTGCACTTAAAAATGGTTAAGATGGGTCCTGGGCAGGGTGGCCCACTCCAAGGCCTGGGTGCAGTGGGAGGGTCCTGACGTGGTGTCCCTAGAGGCCCTCCCTGCCCCTTTCTCCCCCTGAAAGGCGTGTGTCCCCTCTCTGTACCTCGCTGGAAGCCCAGCCGCTGGCGCAGCACGTGTTCCTGGCATACCAGGCTCACGTGCATGTTAGTGAGCCACAAGATGCAGGGATGGAGAAGAAAGCCTTCGCCTACCAGTAGCTGCCTGCTAGGCACCAGGGGATGGGCTGATTTGCTCCAGAATGAATCCACATCAGGAATAGCAGTTACAATTGAGGCCGCCACCTGATTAAGTCTGTAGTAATCTCTCATTCTCCAGATCTGCCTGTCTTCTGCAAAGGCCAAACAGGCCAAGTGAGGACACCTTGAGATGGTGGACCCCCGCCAGCTGGGAAGAGGACCCTCACCTGACCATGCTGATGCTCTGATTGCAGACTTCCAACCTCCAGAACTGTGAGAAAATAAATATTTGTTGCTTAAACCACACACAAAATGGGCTAAGATGGTGAATTTTATGTATATTTTCCCACAGATACACACATACACACAAGATATACTTGAACAACACCCGCGGGGATTCTGATTAATCTGGGGCTTGGGAAAATGCATTTCAAATATGCGACTGAGGTGGTTTTGATAGGGGTAAACAAGAAGTGAAAGAAACAGGAAGATGAACTGTTACCCGTAATGTGAGAAACCTATGAGGAAGCTGAACCACCCTGTGGGGTTCTGTCACTGGGAGTGACTTCCTGGTGTTCTGCTGAGCTACTCATTTTTCACTGTTTTGGTTATTGAGGTTGAACTGCTTGAATGAAAGGTGCGATACTGGGCTCTGGGTGGGGAGAGCAAAATCTGTTAATCTCAGGGGAGATGATCAAATACAAGAAGTGCAGAACTGAAGCTCTCAAAGGGACCTTGGTAACTTCTAGCAGCTCAGCTCTCCACTTCCTCCTCTGTGCAGTGGGAAAATGAAGCCCAGTTTACGTGTTGTTATTATAGAGACCAAATGAGATAAAAGGTGTGAAAGTGTTTTTTACTTTTTAATCAATTACTCAGTTTACTCATAGGGTGAGTGCTTAAATATGGGCTCCATAAAGGGTCAGGGCAAAAGTTCTCAACCCCGAGTACATATTAACATTACTTGAGGAGCTTTGAAAAATACCCAGATTGACCTCCTCCCCTCCACGATTCTCAGTCCACTGGTCTGGGGAGGGCACCGAGTTTGGGCATTTTTTAAAAATCTCTCAGGTTTTTCTACTGGCAGCCAGGCTTGAGCACTACCCCTCTATTAGTGGTGAATTCTAAGTGGTAAAACGGGAAAGGCTTAATCAAGAAGGACTTGTTTGAGCTAGACCTTATGTAAGATTTGAGGAATAATATTTTGGGACTAGGTAGTATATATACACACTATAAAATTTAGAAGTCTAAAAGGATTTATCATGAAAAGTGTATCTTCTCTGTCCTTCTCTCTGGAGGGGAGTCAGCAACTCTGACCAGCTCTCTTTATTTTTATTTTTTTGAGACAGGGCCTCACTCTGTCACCCAGGACCCAGGCTAGAGTGCAGTAGTGTGATCATAGCTCACTGTAGCCTCGACCTCCCAGGCTCAAGTGATCCTCCTGCCTCAGTCTCCCAAGTAGATGGGACTATGGGTGCACACCACCACGCCCGGATAATTAAAAAAACATTTTTTTTTTGTAGAGATAGGGTCTTCCTATGTTACCAAGGTTGGTCTCAAACTCCTGGGCACAATTGATCCTCCAGTCTCAGCCTCCCAAAGTTCTGGGATGACAGGCCTGAGCCACTGCGGGCGGCCTTGACCAGCTCTCGTTTATAATACTGGAGATACTCTTTACAGTTGCTATTAAGGATCTTGTCAGATTGGTCAGGGGAAAGGAGAGGAAAAGAGCAGGTGTCATTTTCTGTTCCACAACCTTCCACTAGGCACAGAATATCATTTGGATAGGTATAACTTGATTGAGGAAATCCATTTAAGAAAAAAATAGAAAGTTGATTTTCAGAATAGGGCTTTCTTCTTTCCCTCCTCCTCCTCCTCCTTTTCAGTTTCTTTCTTTCTTCCTGTCACAGTAAATTCTGAGCAGCTTGAATTTTTAAAATTTAACTTTTTATTCTGAGGTAATTGTAGATTCACATGCAGTTGGTAAGAAATAGTACCAAGAGATCCCATGTACATTTTGCTTAATTTTAATTCATTTTCATTCCAGTACTAATCAAGATATTTCAGATCAAACTCTCTAGTACTGTTTTGAAAAACTACAACCCAGAATTGAGAGTGAGGTTGCAGGAGAGGGCGGGGCTGTGGAGGAACAACGTGTTTTCGTGTTTTCGGTCTTCCCTCATTGTTTCTGGGAAATCACAACTAACATGCAATGTGCCCGTGGCACAGTCCCAGCTGGGGACTAATTAAGACTCTCTGGCAACAGATGCTGTCCGCTCGTTTATATTAATAATGTCCTCCTTTGTGTGCTGGACATGCCAGGGCAAAGGAGGCCAGCTCGGGGAGAGGCTCTCTACCAAAGTGGAACCAGCAGTTTCTACCTGGGTCCTGACTCCAAGTCAGAATATGAGAAAACACTGCACTTGCCCATTCCAGATCCTGCCTTCCTGGTCTCCAGACTCAGGGAAACTAACAGATGGAGGCAGCAAGCCATTCCTGACTCTCAGGTGTCCACGCTGACTCTGAATGGTTACTGGATTCCTGGATAGCACAAGCCCTCTGTCAAACGTGATTCACAAACACAGATCACATGATGACAGAGTAACTGCGGTCCTTCTCTGCCTCTTCCTTTTTGTACTGCATTGGCAGGAAGGAACACCTGGTCAGAAGCAGGTGGCTGGAAGAAAGAGGTTTTAATCTTTTTCCAGTCCAACTCATCTTCCACAGCAGTCACCTGCATACTGTGTAACAAGTGGCCAATGCATTGAAAATGCAAACCATCAGGCCTGAGATTTTATGGGTAAGAAGGTTGCTGGATTATGCATTTCCCCGCTATGGACGTTTTGGCCCAGTATTTCGTTCTTATGCTTATGTCATTTGTGTTAATATAATACATCTGGATATAATAATACTTGGTATTTTTTTGTCGTGTGTTTTTTGTTTTGTTTTGTTTTTTGTTTGTTTGTTTTTGTTTGAGACAGAGTGTTGCTCTGCCACCCAGGCTGGAGTGCAGTGGCGTGATCTTGGGTCACTGCAACCTCCGCCTCCTGGGTCCAAGCAATTTTCCTGCCTCAGTCTCCTGAGTAGCTGGGATTACAGGCACACACCACCACGCCCAGCTAATTTTTGTATTTTTAGTAGAGACGGGGTTTCATCATGTTGGCCAGGCTGGTCTCCAACTCCTGACCTCAAGTTACCTGCCCGCCTTGGCCTCCCAAAGTGCTGGGATTACAGGTGTGAGCCACTACACCTGGCCTATGTGGTGCTTTTGGTAAGGGATCTGGTACCAACACGTTAGGCTTCATCACATTTGTTAAGGTATTTAAAATATACAACGGAAGAAAGAGTAGAACCCGACCACTAATAAACATGATCCCAGGCTTCTATAATCATGTGAAGTAGAACACTATGCACACATATGAAATTTAGGCACGCTCTTTTCTAAACTGATGATAACTACCATTTGTTAATATATTCTGGGCAGAATGTTAATGTTTTGCATGACTTCATTTAACCCTTACAACAAGTCTATGATATATGCTGTTATTATGTCCATTTTATTGTTGGAGCAACCGATGCCTGCAAAGGTGAAGTTATTGCTCAAGGTCCACATGGCTGGTGGGTGAGGCAGGGTTTGGACCCAAATCTGTCTGGCACTGAAGCAGGGACTCTTTGTCTGTGTTATATATACAGCTAGTGAAGCCTTTGGACCTCTTCTCAGAATACTATTTTCAAATGCAAAAAATAAAATACACAGTACAAAGAAAAGCAATTCTCTGTCACCCAGGCTGGCATGCAGCAGTACGATCTCGGCTCACTGCAACCTCCACCTCCCAGGTTCAAGCAGTTTTTCTGCTTCAGCCTCCTGAGTAGCTGGGACTACGTGCATGTGCCACCACGCCTGGCTCATTTTTGTATTTTTGGTAGAGAAGGGGTTTCTCCATGTTGGGTAGGCAGGTCTCAAACTCCTGGCCTCAAGTGACCCACCCGCCTCGGCCTCCCAAAGTGCTGGGATTACAGGCATGAGCCATGACACCTGGCCTTGAAATACCGAAGTATAGTTTTCAACTGCGGTAGGCAGCCTCAAAGGTGGTCCCTACTCATGGTATTTATTCCTTCATGTAATCTCCTCCCTTTGAGTTGGGGCTGGACCTAGTGACTCACTTCTGATGAACAGAGTATGGGAGAAATGATGGTATGCCACTTCTGAGATTAGGTTCCAGAGAGATTGTGGCTTCTTGAATGCTTTCTCTTGCTCTCTCTTGAGTTGTTCCCACTTGAAGAAGCCAGCTGCCACGTCCTAAGGTAGCTGTAAGGTGGAGAGGTCCATGTGTCTAAGACCTGAGGCCTTCCAACAACCACGTGAGGGAGCTTGGAAGCAGCCCCCACTTTGTGCGGTCTTAGAGAACAGAGGCCCTGGCTGACACCTTGTTACGGCCACGTGACACAACTGGACCCAAAACCACCTGGCTAAGCTGCACCTGCCTTCCAAACCCACAGATAACAAATGTTTGCTGTTTTTAATCACTTGTGAAGTAATTTGCTATGCAGCAATAAATAATATGTCAACCTATTAAAATAAAATAAATTTGGGATATATATGTGGTCTCAGTGAGAAGGCATGTCTGAAATATAGGCAAATTAAAGTTAGATTTTTATATTTTAAGACATATTGGCATGAAGGCTATTGTTCCTTGGCTTGAATAAGAAGATTAGAAAGTGCGACAAACTTTGTCAAGTGTAATAACCACATTTTCTAGTTTCTGTATTTGATATTTGACATCTGGGGCCTTGTGACCCTAGAGAGACTGCCATTCCCAGGGCTAGTCAATACCTAGAGATAATAAATGCTTCACCCACCTGGGAGCGTGCATTTCATATGCAAACCAGCTAGTCCAGAGCTCATACCCAAATCACCTTCTTTTTTTGAGACAGGGTCTCACTCTGTTGCCCAGGCTGGAGTGCAGTGGAGTGATTTAAGTTCACTGCACGCCTGGCTAATTTCTGTATTTTTAGTAGAGACGGGGTATTGCCATGGTGCCCAGGCTGGTCTTGAACTCCTGGAGCTCAACTGATCTGCCTGCCCCGGCCTCCCAAAGTGCTGGCATTACAGGTGTGCACCACTGTGCCCGGCTTCAATCATGTCCTTTATTGTTTTCTTACACTCTAGGCCACTGTCTGCCTGGCCTAATCACCCCAGGGCCTGCTACCTGGCCCCTGACAACTAGAGACACTCCCTCCACCCCAGAGCCCGCTGAAATTATTCAAGCCAGCCAATGTGAGGCCTACTTACCCTGCTGCCCACTCTGTTCCTTCTCGAGGAGACCAAAAAAGGCTCTTGCCCATATATTCCCGTCTCTGCCTCCTGACTGACCCCAGTGTTCTACATGTCACATCCCTCAGCCCCATGGCATGGTGCATCCCCTTCTCTTGGGATCTGTGAATATAACCAACTGTCTTGTCAATGGCAGTCATCTCCTGATCTGTTGGCCTTGCAATACCTAAATAATATGAAAACCTACATTTTAAAACAACAATGCAATATGCATGTCTTCGTAGACATTGTCTATTTTATTTTTTGTTTTGATAATTACAAGTGTTAAAGATCTTGTTTCACAAAGATATTTTGTTGCAAATGAAATGACAGCTTTCATATCTGATTTTTCAAGGCTTCTCTCAAGGAACACCAGAATTATCTAAGACTTTTAAAGTTCGACTCCAATTTTCTCTTTTTTGTAACAAAAGTCTTGCTCTGTCACCCAG
This sequence comes from Homo sapiens, assembly GCF_000001405.40. Lineage (NCBI taxonomy): Eukaryota > Metazoa > Chordata > Mammalia > Primates > Hominidae > Homo > Homo sapiens. The sequence continues at coordinate 83,223,057 of NC_000004.12, forward strand.
ACTGGTGTGCCGTGGTACGATCTCGGCTCACTGCAACCTCCGCCTCCCGGGTTCAAGAAATTCTCCTATCTCAGCCTCCTGAATACCTGGGATTATAGGCACGTGCCACCATGCCTGGCTAATTTTTGTATTTTTAGTAGACATGGGGTTTCACCATGTTGGCCAGGCTAGTCTCGAACCAATACAACTTATATTAAAAAGGATATGACTGTGAATTTATGGTTCAGCTTTGATGCCATTATGACAGAAATAGTTGTTGAAAGAGTTTTAAGTGTCTCTAGATGTACTTAGCTTTCTCTTCTTAAATAAATGGACAGAGAACTTTGTAGACATGGAATTACGGAGAAACAATGTATATCTCTGAATGAGCAATACAGAACACGGGAGAAATAGGCTGATAATTGCTCAATAGCACTGATTATAAGAAGACTGTGTACCTATCAGGGGTCTAAAAACTTCAATAATTTTGAAGTAGTAGTGAGTGAAATGATATTTCAAGGCATGTCTAACAATTGAATTGGCTCTAAAAATATCTGTGATTTCTACTAGTGGAAAGTCATGAGTTTTGTTAAAACTACTGGAGTTTCTTGCCTACACTCATAATTAAGCAAAATGCTAAATTTTATTTTAAGGTTAGTGAAAACAAAGATATATTACTCCCCCAACCAAGGTTCTGGATCCAGTTTGGAACACTGTTCTAGAGCTTAATTCTCAGCCACTGCCATACTCCCTTTTCCATGGTCAGGAACAAAGGCGGCCGTGAACTCTGAGTTTAGTTCTCATTGTTAGAAGTACCTAAGCATGGTAATCCCCAAGGTAATAGACCACAAGTCTATTCCCAGCAAAGGATTACAATTAAGGGAAATGTAGGTATGTTCCCAAACTTGTGGCTTTTCTAATGGTTTTAGTGCATGCCAGAGAGTGATCATGCCAGGATGGACCTGAGCTGTTGCCAGCTAGGGGAGGATGCCTGGCAGTGGTGTCAGGACACGCATGGCCCACAGACCCACTAAGACCAGCAGAAACCTTGAGCACTGAAGAGATGATTTCTCCCTTCTTCCCCAGGTATGTAATTAAAAATTAAAACTACAGCAAATCATAAAATAAGTATGAGGTGGTCAGACAGAGCTCTTACTTTGCCTAGGCTGACAAATTTTATGCTTTGAGAGAATGTTTAATTATCTCACAAAAAATAATTTTTGGATCCTTCTGCTTTATTACTGGTGTTGAAAATTAAAATGGAGACCAGGCTTGAAGAATTCCTGAGCAAACAAAGTCAGTTAAGCCACGGAGGCAACGCTGACCATGTTTGATTTGAAAACGTAAGAGAAACTTAGCTTGGGGTTATTTCTTTTGTAAATGTCTACATTAAAGTAAAATGAAACTTAAGTTCAGCCAATCAGAAGCCGCCATCTAATTTATAGGTAACTAACTAGGAAATTTCCAGTAGGAAAGACCAAATAAGACAACTGTATAACTGTAACCAATCAAATATTTCTTTCCTTCGCTTTATGCTGTGGTTTGAATGTGTTTCCCCAAGAACATTTGTAGGAAACTTAACCCCCAAAGCAACAATGTCAAGAGGTGGGACCTTTGGGAGGTGATTAGACTAGGAGGGCTTCACGAATGGATTAATGCTTGAGGTTGCAAGTTGGCTTGCTTGCCCTTCCACCCTCTGCCATGGGGTGATGCAGCAAGAAGGCCCTCGCCAGATGCTGGCACCTTGATATTGGATTTCCTAGTCTCCAGAACTGTGAGAAATAAATTTCTTTACTCTATACATTAATTACTCAGTCTGTGGTATTCTGTGAAGCAACACAAAACTAAGACACTTTACCTTCATGTGCACCCTGTAAAAGACTTCCTCTTGCATCCCCTTGGCAGAGCCCAAACCAGCTTTGATTTGGTGTTTCCTGATTCACAAATCACTACTCAAATAAACTCTTTAAAATTTTATTGTGCCTTAGTTTAACACTGGTCAAATGCGTACTTTGTCTGAGTGTTGGGTAATTCAGCACTGGTTAAAGTATTGTAAGTAAGGGAAATACATTTTCATCTTGGAGCCCAATTAAGCTCCCTTCCCAAAGGGGCAGATGACCCCAACGATGGCAGCTTGCTGTAATGTGTGTTCCTGGATCGGCGATCTGTTGGGTTGCAAGGACAGGAAAGGTTGATAAAGGAAAAGCATACATTACAGCAAGGTGTGATTCCTGGGTAACAGAGACAACAGACTGCCTGCATTGCCTAGTTGAGTGTTGAAGGGAGAAAACGTTGTAAAAAAAATCAACTAATAAATGATACTTAAGTCAAACATTGAACATACTGCATTAAAAAAGACCAAGAACGATCTGCAAATAATAATAAGGACTAGGAACCAAGAAAGCCATCTGAGTGCATTTGACACGAGCCCAGAATAGCTTGACAAATGTGCCCCTGAAAAGTGGCAAACAGGAGTTTCAGCAGAATTGGAGTCGCTTACATGGGAGCAGGGGTGATTCCTTTAGATACTCTAGAAGAGAGGTTCCCACCAGTTCCTCAGGGACAAAATACAGATATGTTCTCTAAAGCCAGCACTTCTCACACTTTCCTATGACCATCCTCTTCAGGACAGAAAAGTAGAAAAGGACTTCTGGGAGGTTAGGGAAATAGTCCAAAGCAGCCTATTTTAAACTCCCTAAGCTCAAATTTTCTTTGAATTTGCATGCTTCATTTAAAAAATATGTGTGGATTTACATTTTACTCCATTAATATATCTGCAATTGTCTCAGCATGAAAGCGTTTTTACATTGTGTTAATATCACCACATAAAATAATTCCTGTAAGTTCTGATCTGTCCTGTGCACTTTGCCTAACTCAGCCTTCTACAGCATATCTCTGGGGATATATTTACCCACATTTGAGAAACAGCACCTTGAATTATGTATAATAAAATGAAGATGTTAACACTTACGAAGTCTCAATAAATTCTTTGGCTATTTTTGTAAAGAAAACTAAAGAACTTTTCCAGGATCTATCTATATATCGTCTGTCTTTCTGTTTCCCGATGGTGACAAAGAATCACTCCACAGATTGTTCACTAATTGCAAAAAGAAAAGAACTGTTACCATAGAGAGACCTGGCACTCACCATCTTAACCAAGTGCTCAAACAGTGTCCTTAACACCTAATGGAGCATTCCAATCTTATGGGGAAAAAAGCAGGGGAACTAAAGAGATATAATAACCAAATGCAAATATATGATGGGATACTGCTCTGGAAAAACACACCTATAAAAGACATTTATGGGATTTGTGAAATTTGAATATAAACTGTAAATTAGAGGATATTATCAAATTACTATTAATTTTTAGATATAAAAAGGGTATTGTTTATGTATGAGACTGTCTATATTTCTAGGAGAAGATTAATGTATTAATATTTATAGGTGAAGTGTCTTTTTTTTTTTTTTGAGATGAGTCTCGCTCCGTCGCCCGGGCTGGAGTGCAGTGGCGTGATCTTGGCTCACTGCAACCTCCACCTCTCAGGTTCAAGCGATTCTCCTGCCTCAGCCTCCCAAGTGGCTGGGACTACAGGCATGTGCCACTACGCCCAGCTAATTTTTGTATTTTTAGGAGAGACGGGGTTTCACCGTGTGGGTTGGCCAGGATGGTCTCGATTTCTTGACCTCGTGATCTGCCTGCCTCGGCCTCCCAAAGTGCTGGGATTAAAGGTGTGAGCCACCACGCTTGGCAAGTGTCATGACTTCTACAATGTACTTTCAAAAGGCTCAGCCAAATATAGACAGACAGACACATAGACATACACACACACACACACACACACACACACACACACACACACACACACACAGAGAGAGAGAGAGAGAGAGAGAGAGACAGAAAGAGAGAAAGAGAGAGACAGAGAGAGAGAAAGAGAAAGCAAATATGGTAAAATGTTAACAAACAACCATTGAACCTGAGCAAAGGATATATGGGTCTATTGTATTTTCTTTCAGCCTTTATTAGAATAAAAGGTTTGAAAGAAATAAATTCAATATCTAAAAGAGTTTTGTGATTCTACCAGGAAAGAAGGATATAGAAAAACTGCAAAATTCCATCTAACTCATGGTCTTCAGAGCTAGATAACAGACACTATATTAAAGACTTGCAGAAATATGGACGCTGACCAAGCAGACTGGATGGGGATGTGGTCCTCTGTAATGAGGCAAAAGTAAGAAATAGAGATGTAGACTATGTGGACTCTAAGGGCTACAGGACCACCCCTTGAGAATCACTCTAAGGAGGGCTCTGTATGTTCCATCAAGGTCACCAGCAACATTCAGTCATCCTCCTGGCAAGGAATTGTCCTGGAAAGGCATCTCTCAAATTGTTGGGTTGACACAATGGTCTCCCTGGTGAATGTTATGGGCTGAATTGTGTCTCCCCCTCCAAATTTATATGTTGGAGCTCAAACTCCGAGTATCTCAGAATGGGACTTATTAGGAGATAGGTCCTTTATTTATTTTTTATTTATTTTGAGACAGAGTCTTGCTCTGTTGACCAGGCTGGAGTGCAGTAGCACAATCTTGGCTCACTGCAACCTCCGCCTCCTGGGTTCAAGTGGTCCTCCCACCTCAGCCTCCCAAGTAGCTGGGACTACAGGTGCATGCCACCATGCCTGGCTATTTTTGTATTTTTAGTAGTAGATATGGGGTTTTACTATGTTGGCCAGGCTGGTCTTGAACTTCTAACCTCAGGTGATCTGCCCACCTCAGCCTCCCAAAGTGCTGAAATTTCAGGTGTGAGCCATCATGCCTGGCCTGGAGATAGGGCCTTTAAAGAGGTGACTGAATTAAAATTAGGCCATTAATGTGGGTCCTAATCCAATCTGACTGGTGTCCTTATAATAAGAAGAAATTTGGGGTGGGGCTGGTGACTCATGTCTGTAATCCCAACACTTTGGGAGGCTGAGGTAGGAGGATTGCTTGAGGGCAGGAGTTTGAGACCTGCCTGGGCAACATATCGAGACCCCCATCTCTATAAAAAATACACAAATTAGCCGGGCATGGTAGTGTACACCTGAGGAACCTGAGCGGGAAGAATTGCTTGAGGCCCGGAGGTTGAGGCTGCAGTGAGCCATGATTGCACCACTGCATTCCAGCCTGGGCAGCAGAGCAAGGCCCCAACTCAAAAAAATAAAAATTAAAAAAAATGAAAAATTTTTAAAAAGAGGAAATTTGGACAGAAAAATAGACACTAAGGATGTATATACACAGAAGAAAGACCACCTGGGGACACAGTGAGAAGGCTGGTCTCTGCAGGCCAAGAAGAGAGGCCTCAGAAGAAACCAAACCTACTGACTCCTTGGACTTTCCAGCCTCCAGAACTATGAGAAAATAAATTTCTGTTGCTTAAGCCACCCAGTTTGTGGTATTTAGTCATAGCAGTTCTTGCAAACTAATATGGTGGGTAATCATATTCCAACCTTGCGAAGATTTAGATTTAGGAGTAGAAATGTTTAAGAGGATATTATCTACAGTATTCATATTTTTGTATTAATGTGTACATTACTTACTGTAAGTAGTTGCAATGTTTAAGAGAATTTGGTCTGTTGAAACTAGAGATCAGTCTTGTGTTTCCTAAACACCAAAGGGAGTGACTTACATTCTAAGTCAGATTGTTACTAAGATCTTTTAAGAACTTAAAAATCACCATATTTATGTGTTTGATCTACTAGATTTGTATGCATTATTTAGGTTCCCAGGAAAGTTTTGACATTAAATTGAATAATTATTGATATTAAGAAAATAAATAATGTTAAATTTATAAATGCACTTTAAGAGGTTTTAAGGAGTTTATCTAATAGCATTTGTTAATGGAACCAAACCATATTTAGGCCCTTCAAGTGCTTTTAAAATTTGCTATATTTCTGAAAGAACAACAAGAATTCTAAGTTGAACTTAAATCTTAAGGTCAATGAAGTTTTTTTTTTTTGAGATGGAGTCTCGCTCGCTCTGTCACCCAGGCTGGGGTGCAGTGGGGTAATCTTGGCTCACTGCAACCTCCGCCTCCGAGGTTCAACCAATTCTCCTGCCTCAGCTTCCTGAGTAGCTGGGATTACAGGCGTGCACCACCATGCCCAGCTAATTTTTGTATTTTTAGTAGAGATGGGGTTTCACCATGTTGGCCAAGCTGGTCTCGAACTCCTGACCTTGTGATCCGCCCGCCTTGGCCTCCCAAAGTACTGGAATTACAGGCATGAGCCACCATGCCTGGCGGTAAGCGAAGTTTTTAAGTTGTAACTTTAGTAAATTAAATATTAATTTTTAAAGCTAAGTAACCTCTGAATAACCTTTTTTGATGCATAAAAGCCAACCTCAAGGGCATCAAAAGAGTCATCTACGTTTATATTTGAACTCTGTAACTTCTGAATAATGTGCAAAGCATGTCCTCTGGGATCCGAGGGACCAGGTGTAATGGGGTTAAGTTGAATTCAAAGCTTGAACACGTAGCCTTCTTGTTTTCTGTAACTATTCTCTTCTTGTCCAGAAGGCCCCGTTTCCTCTGATGGCGAGATAGAGTGATGAAGTGAAGGTAGATCACCAAACATAAACTTTCCAAGTAAAGGTAGCCAGAGTCTACTTTGGGGTTAACCTAATCTCTTTTGGGGAAATGCTCAGCGTTTTAGGCATTTTCTTCTCTCCTCTTCCCTTAGCCAAGATGGCCTTGGGGAGAGGGAAAGTTTATGCACTCACGTGGCATTGGTGGTGTTGTGGCTGGTTCACAGTGGGCTTTTGTTTGGCCCAGTGGGCACTTGCTGGGCTCTTGTTGCAGTGTTTTGTCCCACTGAAACCAGGTCATTGGTCTCTGATGTCATCGCCTCCTCTTGACCTCCAGTGGCATTGTTGCATTGCCTCGGAGCTCTGCAGGCTGACTAGGCCTTTTGGACTTTCCAGTTTTATCCAAAGCACACAGGAGGCCCCTACAAAAGAACACTCCCCAGGAACCTTTGTCTCAGGAAATCTTTCCAGCGTCTGCCTCTGAACTACTCTCTGTCCTGTCCTCTACTCCAGACTTTTCCCTTGTGATTAAGTTCTTGTCTCCTTGGACTAGGTCCTTTGTATCAGACAGAAAGCTGCCCTTATGTGGGTGGGGGCATAAGTCTCTCTTTGGTTCCACCCTATAACCCTGGGCCAGCCCTTCTTATTCTCAAGCAGAGTCCTGGATCCTGAGACCCTAGTCTGAACCTGTATCCCATCCCCATAATTTGAGTAGGTGAAGCAAAAATGAATCTGTACCCCATCCCCATAATTTGAGTAGGTGAAGCAAAAATGATCAAATCTGGCCAGGCATGGTGGCTCATCCCTGTTGTTCCAGCACTTTGGGGGGCTGAGGCGGGAGAACTGCTTGAGCCCAGGAGTCTGAGACCAGCCTAGGCAACATAGTGAGACCTTGTTTCCACAAACAAACAAACAACCCAATCTGTGAATGCCAAGATTGCTTAAGAATTAACAAATAGCATTTGAAAAAGATGTAAGAATTGTTAGGAACATAAAAGTTATAGGATACTAATTCCTTTAAAATAAAAATGCAAAGTTTCTTCCTAATTAACTTTTTTCTAACACTTAGGTTTGAGATAATTAGAAGAAAAGTTTACATATAGATTAGCGTCACTATTAGCCAAATAGTGCCTTTATAAAAATCACAGAGAGGCCTTTTTCTCTGGTGGTGGGGTGTGGCATAGAGTCCTAAGCAGGACTCACAGCTTGGCAAGGCAAGAGGAGCACAGACTGGATTTTGGTCCCTACTCACCCGTCAGGTGGTTGCTTTTTGGTAATAAACATCCTGCCCAATCATACGAAGTGGCCTGATATAGATGATATTTATTAACTACATGACCTTGGGCAAACATCTCAGTCCTTAGAACTTTAGATGCCTCATATAACAAGTGAGAGGGGCTGACCTCTGAGGTCCTTTGTATCTACAAATACTATGCTCCACGGCATCAGTAATTTTTTTTTTCTTTTTTTTAACTAAATGAGAGTCTTCACAGAAAGTAGAGGAAGTACCAAATGCTGGCCACCGGAAGGAACCAGTCTGAAAAGTAGAAGTGACAGAAACCCATGGGCAAAAGTGGTCAGGTTATTCTAGAGTTCATGATAGGGAGAGTTGGACATCATTAGATATATATCCGAGACTTTGGTAAGACACATCTAAAAATTTTTCCTAAATAATAAGATTCCCTGGACAGAGACTCCCAAAGGGAAGATGACAAGTGTTTGGGAGAAGTGCTGCAAAATGAAATCTCTATCTTCCAAACAGGATGATGTGGAACAGAAAAAAAGGGGGAGAGTTATTTAAAGAGAGACACACTTGGCCAGGCGTATTGGTTCAGGGCACTTTGGGAGGCCGACACAGGTGGATCACTTGAGGCCAGGAGTTCAAGACCAGTCTGGCCAATATGGTGAAACCCCATCTCTACAAAAACTAAAAAAAAAATAGCTGGATGCTAATGCTCTGAGATGACAGATTTTTGGAACTGTGGATGTAAAGCCCATAGACCTTAACATTAGTGTGTCCAGTCCCATGACATTTCATTAGCTTATGGCTTCTGCTCCAGAGACTCCCACCATTTCCCCATTGATAAGGGAGAGGAAGGAGGAAGTAAGAGATTATTTAAAAACAGTTGTGAAACTACCAAGGTCTGTGGTTGAGAGTTGGTTTTCTAACCAACCTTTGTCTAGTCTAGTCTAACCTTTGACTACAGACATCATATAAGGGACACGGTTGCCTCAGATGCAGAAGATATCAGGAAGGGCTGATTTGTTCCACACTATTTGACCACACTGATTGCAACAGGATGTGGACATGTTTTGCTATGAGTGTGTCCTAAAACATTGGAAAGAAACCCCACATCCTGTCACCCTCCCTGAGGGCAAGGACACTTAGAGTGGAGAAATCTGAGGTTTAACCTGTGCTGGGGATGATGACTGATACAACAAAGGATATAGGACCTCACCTAATGAATTTCAAAGATTGCTGATGTAAGATGCACCAAGAACAAATGTTGGTGTCCTGGTAGTAGAGCAGGGGACCCCTTGTGAGACCTGTCTTTGATCTTGGGAACACAAATCTTACAACATATTTATGACTGTGAAGGCAAAAGAAATCTTCAACGATGAGGTCTGGAAATTCTGAATATTCTATGCAAAGTATTAGAATTTCACAAGAGAGGACTTTGCTCAGAAGAGAAAAATGAACAGGCACCAAGTGGTAATTCACAGAAGTGTCATTCCCATGCTCTTAACTCTCAAGTGTGTTTTGAGATCAGGAAACATGGAGTCCTTATTCTCACTGTGTCCCCTGTTTGAAGACTGATTAATTAAGATGTCATTCATGACATGGTGAGCCATCTTGAGATATTTGAATATCCTGCCACCATGGGAACCCAGACCTACCTCTGGACTAATTATTGGGAGGGGATTGTGGGAAAGAATAATGACTGGGAAATAGAAATCTTTAAGATGCTCTTGAGCAGAACAAATTTCTCCTCCAATAAAGATGTCCATGTGTTTGTATTTGGCATGGATAATACCATGTATTCTGTAACCCCAATTCTTTAGTATTAGCTCTTTGTGAAAACCTTCTTAGAAACAAGGTGATTTCACTAGATTGTGTTTGGGGGCTATAATTTTATGATCCTATGAAAGATTGTCCCCTACTTTGCCACTTCTGCCAATAAGACCTCTATGTCCTGTCTGCTCTCTTGTTCCCCCAAATAAAGCTTGGATTTCTGTACCATTAACTATCTGCCCAGCATACAAACCTTTAAGTAAGAAAGAAAGCTTCCTCTTAACCTTCATCCAAAAAAAAACAAAAACACACACAAACAAAAGAAAATCTGAACTAGGAATAGAGAGCTTTGGGGCTTCTTAAGTACAATGACTAATAAAATATAAACATACTTGCTGTCTCCAGGGGGTTTATAATTAAAATCATAATGTATATTGACATTGTTTATCAGGGTAAAGACTATACTAATTGGCAGGAATAGAATACTCTTTTCTTTTTTTCAAAAGTATAAGTACTGAAAAATTTGACCAATCTCTGTGTTCTACTTACTACTTCTAATGAAGACCTGACAATTCTACATTAATTTAACAGTAACTTTAAGCATTGGATATGTTGATTTGTAATTATCAGGAGAGACTGAGATCAAGCATTTATGTTGGTATATACATTACTAAAAATGATACAAAAATAGGGCTTTAATAAAATGAAGAAACTTTTTTTTATTTATATGCACCTAACAGAAACTGAGATCAGTATGTGCAACCTATGTCTCTGCCAAATTTATCCTCCTTCCAGCCCTACCTTGGAGAGGGGTAATCATCTAAAATTAAACTATTTGCAGACAATTTTTCTTGGAAATGTAATGTTAACAGAGGCAATTATTTTTCTTTAGGCTATAGAAAAACAAATTTTTATTTATTTATTTTTTATTTTAAAAAATAATGGAGTGGCAGGGTCTTGCTGTGTTGCCCAGGGTGGGCTTGAATTCCTGGGCTCAAGTGATCCTCCCACTTTGGTCTCTCAAAGTGCTGAGATTACAGGCATTACTGGCCTAGAAAAACAAATTCTGAATAAGTATGATAAGACAAATTCCTTGCCAGCAACTCAATTTTAGAAAATATAGTTTTTAATCTCAGGTAGCTTGGGATGGCAGAAACAAACTGTCTTACTGTTTATTCTTGAAATATACACTAAGAAACCTATATTCATAAGAAGAACTCTTTTAAAAGGGATAACATTTCATAAAAACTTTATTATTGACTTACATTTAACATATGAGCTGTAGTATTCTTCTAGAATTTTATATTCGTTTTTATTTTCTTGAGTTTTTTTGTTTTTGTTTTTGTTTTGTTTTGTTTTAGTTTTTGGTTTTTGGTTTGTTTGTTTTTTTGTTTTTTTTGAGACAGGGTCTCACTCACTCTGTCACCCAGGCTGGAGTGCAGTGGCATGATCTCGGCTCACTGTACCCTCGACCTCCTGGGCACAAGCAATACTCACTCAGCCTCTTGAGTAGCTGGGACTACAGGCACATGCCCCCATTCCTGGCTAATTTTCGTATTTTTAGTAAAGATAGGATTTTGCCATGTTGCCCAGGCTGGTCTCAAATTTCTGAGCTCAAACAGTCCTCCTGCCTTGGCCTCCCAAAATGCTGGGATTCCAGGCATAAGCCACCATGCCCAGCCTATTTTTTATTTTCTTGAATATTAAAGGCATTCCATGACTATTGAAGTCAACTAGTTTAAGTCTAATGAAGACCTGATTAAAGTTAAATATTTACCAAAATAAAAACAATTATTATTACCAAAGTAACACCAATCTTTAAAAATCATTCCAAAAAATTAAAGTATCCTGCAGGGACTATATTCAGCATGAGAGATGAAGTAGGGAATGTCAGGACTCTGAGCCTAAGCTAAGCCATCATATCCCTAGTGACCTGCATGTATACATCCAGATGGCCGGTTCCTGCCTTAACTGGTGATATTCCGCCACAAAAGAAGTGAAAATGGCCTGTTCCTGCCTTAACTGATGACATTACCTTGTGAAATTCCTTCTCCTGGCTCATCCTGGCTCAAAAGCTCCCCCTCTGAGCACCTTGTGACCCCCCACCCCTGCCCACCAGAGAAAAACCCCCCTTTTTCCTTTACCTACCCAAATCTTATAAAACGGCCCCACCCCTATCTCCCTTCCCTGACTCTCTTTTCGGACTCAGCCCACCTGCACCCAGGTGAAATAAACAGCCTTGTTGCTCACACAAAGCCTGTTTGGTGGTCTCTTCACATGGACGTGCGTGAAAGGGAATTTGTCACAGAACATTCAGCAGACAAACTTAAAGAGGGAATTTTAAACTAGCTTTCAGAACCTAGGCTCAGAGGCAGTACTCAAGTGAGGTCCTGCTGCAGATGACAACTGCAAAAGAAAATGAACATTGATTTTCTCCAAGTTAGACTCATTTATTTAGCTGTTACTCATAAAGTAGAAGCCAGGTAAGCAGTAGTGTTGACTCATACATAATTTGCAAAAGAGTTGATAAACTCGGACAACAGCAGTGGGACTGCTTTATAGTTTCAAAAGCCTCTTAACATCTTCTCTGTTTTGAGTGCATCATCTTCTCTAAGATGAATTATCTTCAGACCAAATTATATAAGTCAATCTGCAATGGAACAAGCTGGAGGAGATTTAGATTCACTATCTAGAGAAAAGTGTTCATTTGTTTAAAAGAAATACTTTAAACTGAGGGAATTCATCACCACTAGACCAGTCCTACAAGAAATGTTTGAGAGTCCTTCATCTAGAAGTGAAAGTGTCAGGCCTCTGAGCCCAAGCTAAGCCATCATATGCCCTGTGACCTGCACATATACATCCAGATGGCCGGAAGCAACTGAAGATCCACAAAAGTGAAAATGGCCTGTTCCTGCCTTAACTGATGACATTCCACCATTGCGATTTGTTCCTGCCCCACCTTAACTGAACTATTAACCTTGTGAAATTCCTCCTCCTGGCTCAGAACCTCCCCCACTGAGCACCTTGTGACCCCCGCCCCTGCCCATAAGAGAAAAACCCCCTTTGACTGTAATTTTCCACTACCCACCCAAATCCTGTAAAACAGCCCCACCCCATCTCCCTTTGCTGACTCTCTTTTCGGACTCAGCCCGCCTGTACCCAGGTGAAATAAACAGCCTTGTTGTTCACACAAAGCCTGTTTGGTGGTCTCTTCACATGGACACACATGACAGAAAGGATGATGTCTACCATCAAGAAAACACATAAGACTGTAAAACTCACTGGCATAGCAGATACACAAATGAGAAAGAGAAAGGAATCAAATGTTACCACTACAGAAAACCACCAAACCGCAATGATAAATAATGAAAGAGACAAAAGATCAATGAAACAAAAAGTTGGTTCTTTGCAAAGAAAAACAAAATTGATAAACTGCTAGCTAGAATAACCAAGAAGAGATAAGATCCAAATAAACATAATCAGAAATGAAAAAGGAGACATGACAACAGACACCAGAAATGCAAAAGGTCATCAGCGAGAATTATGAACAACTATATGCTCAAAAACTAGGAAACCTAGAGGGAATTGATTAAATACCAGGAAACATACTACCTTCTAAGATTAAACCAGGAAGAAACAGAAAACCTCAACAGACCAATAATGAGATTACATCATAATAAAAACTCTCCCCACAAAGAAAGGCCCAGAACTGGATCACTTTATTGCTGAATTCTATCAAGCTTATAAAGAACTAACACTAATTCTTCTCAAATCATTCCAAAAAATTAAAGAGGAGGGAAATCTTTCTAACTCATTCTGTAAGGCCAGCATTACCTGATGCTAAAACCAGACAAGGACACACAAAAAAAGAAAACTATGAGAGAAAAATATCTCTCAGGAACATAGATGTAAAAATCCTCATCAAAATACTAGCAAACTAAATCTAACAACCATCAAAAATATAATACACCATGATCAAGTGGGATTTATCCCAGGAATGCAAAAAATGGTTCCACATATGCAAATCAATAAATGTGATACATTAACCAAAGGAAGGACAAAAACCATATGATCATCTCAATAAACACAGAAAAAGCATTTGATAAAATTTAACATCCTTCATGATAAAACGTCTCAACAAGTTAGGCGTAAAAGAAACATACCTCAAAATAACAAAAGCCATATATGACAAACCCACAGCTAACATCATACCACCTGGGGAAAAGCTAAAAGCCTTTCCTCTAAGAACTGGAATAAGACAATGATGCTCACCTTTACTATTCTTATTCAACATAGTGCTGGAAGTCCTAGCCTGATCGATTAGGAAAGAGGAAGAAATAAGGACATAATCCAAGTTGGAAAAGAAGTGAAAGTGTCTCTCTTTACAGATGACATGATCTTATACTTAGAAAAACCTAAAGACTACCAAAAAAGTCTTACAAATGATAAGTAAATCCAGTAAAGTTGAAGGATACAAAAACCAATATACAAAAATTGGTAGTTTCTATATAACCAGGATGAACTAATTAAAAAGAAATCAAGAAAGCAATCCCGCATTTCCACCCACTTCCCCACCCAGTGCCACTCTGGCTACCCTGCACTCGCTCTGAGCTCCAGGCTTCTGCTAAGTTAGCAACACCATGGTCTCCCTTTAGCTGCTCTCATGATTACCTACCCTGGCATCATCAGCCACAATAGTTCAACATGTATAAGATTTGGGAGATTGCAGACAGGCTTGCCTGGAGTTGGAGGGAAAGATGGTAAGTAGGACGCAGGGTAACACTGATGACTTGTTCATTGGTGGAAATGCCTCTGCTGAAGGCCCTTAGGGCAAAGGTGCCTCCCAAAGTGCTGGGATTACAGGTGTGAGCTACCGTGCCCGGCCAGGTCTAAATATTTGTAACGAACTGTTAAATAAAATATGTTCTACCCTCACATCTTGACAAATACACTTTTATAATAACCTGGAAGGGCAGGTTCCTATTTAGAATTCTCAGACTTCTTGGGGTCTCCAGATTATGGAGACAGCTGGCTCCCTGGCTGCCCATCCCTGGTCTGAGGGCATTTCCTCTTTTATTTCTACCTATGCCCCATCCTACACTACAAAGGGCTTTGTGGACACATGTGTGGACACCTGATGCTGCATAGCTAAGCTCTAACCACACCCACTTCATAAAATGTGTGTCCCCTGGGCATCCTTAGCCATTAGGGTTGTGTACTCCAGCTGTGCAGTCTGCCCTTAGGAGGACTTAATCAGGAAAGAGAATGTACTAGCCCTGTAAATAGGCTCCAAGTGGTTTGGGCAGATAATTCTGCAGTCTAAGGCACCCAGACGTAGATGAATAGTATTCCATTGTATAGATCACTTTGGGTAATATGGACGTTTTAACAACTTTAATCCTTCCAGTCCATGAGCATGAGCTATCTTTCCATTTATTTGTGTCTTCTATTTTTCTAATTATTTTTTAAATAGTTTTCAGTGTACTGATTTTTGTGTGTTGATTTTGGATCCTACAACTTTACTGTATTTGTTTATCTTAACAGTTTTTTGGTGGAGTCTCTGGGGTTTTCTATATATAAGGACACGTTATTGGCAAACAGGTGTAATTTAACTTCTCCCTTTCCTATTTGGGGAATGTCTTTTATTTCTTTCTCTTGCCTAATTGCTGTAGCTAGGATTTCCAATACTATGTTGAATAGAGGTGGCAAGAATGGACATCTCTGCGTTGTTCTGATCTTAGAAGAAAGGCTTTCCATTTTCACTGTAGTGTATAATATTAGCTGTGAACAAAATCTGCATTTTTAAACACCTGTTAGATTCTTACTGGGAGATGTTGAAGGCCTCTAAAAGTAAGAGGTAGGGTAGGGCTTTGTGTTGCTGTTCCCCCCAGACTCACTAAATGTTTGCATGTTACCTTGGTATCCAGCCCTAGATGGAATTCTGCTACCGCTGTAATCATTAGCAAGCAGGCGTGCTCTTCTTACAAGCTCAGCTCAGTCCCTTAGGCACTGTATCGGATGAGATAAGGAAAAGCTGCTGTAATAATAATACAGTGGTTTAAAGCAACAGTCCAAGGTGAATGTTCCAAGGTGGCAGGTGGTCTGCTTCATGAGCCACTCAGGGGCTCAGGTTCCTTCCAACGTGATTCTGCACTACTCTCTGGGCCTTTTGTTGTCTGCATAGCAAAGTTCTAGCCAACCAAATGGCAAGAAGGGAACAAGAACTCAGAATAGGCATATTCATGTTCTTAAGGTGTAGGCCCAGAAATCTAGGTATACATTCTTCTACTCACATGCCATCAGGTGAAACTTAGCCACATGAATACAGCTATCTGTTAGGTGAGCTGGATTGGGTGGTGTAGCCAAGCACCTAAGAAGAAGAGGAGAATGGACTATTTGGTAGAAAACTGGTTGTCTCCACCATTGGCACACTGCCAAGTATCTTGCAGGAAAGAATTAATCAAGGCAGATGCAATAATATTCTAGAGCCAAGTTAAGCTCACTTACTATTCAGAATAGGTAGCAGAATCTTCAGGTCCAAATCAGAGCCTGAGCCACAAAGACCACTCTGAAAGATATAGATAGGCTGCTGGGCTCATAAATTTTATGCACTTCTATACATATAAGGACACAGATTCTTCTACAGTATTGCTAATTAATCCAAATATTTTATTTTATTTTTATTTATTTATTTATTTTGAAACGGAGTCTCGCTCTATCGCCCAGGCTGGAGTGCAGTGGCGTGGTCTCAGCTCGTTGCAACCTCTGCCTCCTGGGTTCACGCCATTCTCCTGTCTCAGCCTCCCGAGTAGCTGGGACTACAGGCGCCTGCCACCATGCTGGCTAATTTTTTGTATTTTTAGTAGAGATGGGGTTTCATCGTGTTAGCCAGGATGGTCTCGATCTCCTGACCCCGTGATCTGCCTGCCTCAGCCTCCCAAAGTGCTGGGATTACAAGCGTGAGCCACCGCACCCGGCCTCACACATTTTATTTTTTAAATTTAAGTTTATTTTATTTTCTTAGAGATGGGGTCTTGCTATGTTGCCCAGGCAGGATTCAAACTTCTGGGCTTGGCTGGCCATGGTGGTTCATTCCTATAATCCCAGTGTTTTGGGAGGCCAAGGCACGAGGATCTCTTGAGGCCAGGAGTTTGAGACCAGCCTGTACAACATAGCAAGACACCTTCTCTACAAAACAAAAACAAATCAAAAACAGACAAAAACCTCCTGTGCTTAAGGAATCCTCCCACCTCAGACACCTGAGAAGGATCACACACACATGCCACTGTGCCTGGCTAATCCACATATTTTAAACATCGCACATTTTGCCAACTGAAAACTATTTCTATCATTTTAAAAGTATATTAACAACTAGTACATTGAGATAGCAATAGTCAAACCACTTGTAACAGGTCCTCTGGAATGTGGAGACCTGAGAAAAACATTTCAAACCTATCCTGGAGAGTATATTCCTGATTAGGGCACTTCAAATGCTAAATTCCTATTTCTAGATTAAAAGTAACAAACACGCATATATCACATTGTCCAGGCCCTTGATGCATATTGAAAACATTCACACCACACACATACACTCACATACACATGCACACACGCAAACACGTGTGTGCACATACACACACATGCACACAGGAAATACAGAAAACTATGCACCAAAATAGAGATGATTATTATCACGTAGGGTCTATTTTGTGCAGGTATCAACATATAAATATTCCCAGAGGAATTTCATAATTCAGGATTTCGTGAAGATGACAAAAGAAGAATGACTGCATCTATTCTGAACTTTACCCAGTTTTGGAGTCCTGATGTCAGTCACTACTTCTTACTTTCTAAGGCACTGATGGTAACAATTAACTTCTGTGGCCAAAGGACTATTTCCAGGATGGCCTGGATCCTCTTTTTGCCATCCCACACTGCTCTCACACCACACTGTCTGAGATGTCTACTTCCTGCATCTGGGCCCTTATTATAAATGAAAGTAGTTCTTTGCTTTGGTCCTGGCTCAAAATATAGCCCTCAACTACTGAGTCTTTAGCAATTCCTTTGCATCTGATTGCAGATGCAATTGAAAATTGCAACATAACTGCAATTGCCTTGCCTGTGAAAAGGCAATATAACTGACGGTTGAAAGCGAAGATTCTTTCAGTTCCCTCAACTGAATAATGAGTTCGCAGATGTAAAGTGCTTAGGACAGCACCTGGCATGTAGTAAGTAGCACTCTGTGGGTACCGGCTGTTATCATTTCTCTATTATCTGTTTCTCCTGACAGACCTGTAGATAGTGGAACTTTGAATCTTCTTCACTTTATTTTATTGTTTTAATTAATTAATTAATTAATTAATTTTTTTTTAAAGACAGAGTCTTACTCTGTTGTCCTGGTTGGAGTATAGTTAAGCAATCATAGCTCACTGTAACCTCAAACAACTGAGCTCAAGCAATCTTCCTGCTTCAGCCTCCCAAGTAGCTAGGACTACAGGCATGCATCACCTCACCCAGCGAATTTTTAAATTTTTGTAGAAATGAGGTCTTGCTATGTTGTCCAGGTTGGTCTTGAAACCCTGACTGCAACGGATCATCCTGCCTTGGCCTCCCAAAGCTCTGGCATTACAGGTGTGAGCCACTGTGCCTGGCTTCCACTTTATTTTAAGAAGGAAACCACAGGTAAATATTCTTACACTTTTATCACTCTTGACACTACCCTTCCACTAGGTAACTGCAGGAACAGGGTCAGATGACTGCTGGGGTTGTTTTGAAACTTGACATGATTAAGCCTGTGATGCCAGGATAAAAAAAAATTACTTTTCTCTTGCCTTTTATCTGTTGTCTGTCTTTTAGACATTTAACTATCAGTCTTCCTACATAAAGGAATAAATGGGGTAAAAAAAAAAAAAAAAAAAGAGTTTTTCCCATTCCAAGCTGGCCAAATAGGAACAGCTCTGGCCTGCAGCTCACAGTGTGATTGATGCAGAAGACGGGTGATTTCTGCATTTCCAACTGAGCCTCTGCTGGTGATACCCAGGGGAACAGGGTCTGGAGTGGACCTCCAGCAAACTCCAACAGACCTGCAGCTGAGGGACCTGACTGTTAGAAGGAAAACTAACAAACAGAAAGGAATGGCATCAACATCAACAAAAAGGACATCCACACCAAAACCCTATCTGTAGGTCACCAACTCCAAAGACCAAAGGTAGATAAAACCACAAAGATGGGGAGAAACCAGAGCAGAAAAGCTGAAAATTCTAAAAACCAGAGCATCTCTTCTCCTCCAAAGGATTGCAGCTCCTCGCCAACAACGGAACAAAGCGGGACAGTGAATCACTTTGACGAGTTGACAGAAGTAGGCTTCAGAAGGTCAGTAATAACAAACTTCTCCGAGCTAAGGGAGGATGTTTGAACTCATTGCAAGGAAGCTAAAAACCTTGAAAAAAGATTAGACAAATGGCTAACTAGAATAAACAGTGTAGAGAAGAACTTAAATGACCTGATGGAGCTGAAAACCATGGCATGAGAACTACGTGACACATGAACAATCTTCAGTAGTCAATTCAATCAAGTGGAAGAAAGAGTATCAGTGATTGAAGTTCAAATTAATGAAATAAAGTGAGAGGAGAAGTTTAGAGAAAAAAGAGTAAAAAGAAATGAACAAAGCCTCCAAGAAATATGGGACTATGTGAAAAGACCAAATCTACGTTTGATTGGTGTACCTGAAAGTGACAGGGAGAATGGAACCAAGTTGGAAAACACTCTTCAGGATATTATCCAGGAGAACTTCCCCAACCTAGCAAGGCAGGCCAACATTCAAATTCAGGAAATACAGACAACACCACAAACATACTCCTTGAGAAGAGCAACCCCAAGACACAAAATTGTCAGATTCACCAAAGTTGAAATGAAGGAAAAACTGTTAAGGGCAGTCAGAGAGAAAGGTCGGGTTACCCACAAAGGGAAGCCCATCACATTAACAGCGGATCTCTCGGCAGAAACTCTACAAGCCAGAAGAGAGTGGGGGCCAATATTCAACATTCTTAAAGAAAAGAATTTTCAACCCAGGATTTCATATCCAGCCAAACTAAGCTTCATAAGTGAAGGAGAAATAAAATCCTTTACAGAGAAGCAAATGCTGAGATATTTTGTAACCACCAGGCCTGCCTTACAAGAGCTCCTGAAGGAAGCACTAAACATGGAAAGGAACAACCGGTACCAGCCACTGCAAAAACATGCCAAATTGTAAAGACCATTGATGCTAGGAAGAAATTCCATCAACTAATGCGCAGCTAACATCATAACCAGCTAACATCATAATGACAGGATCAAATTCACACATAACATTATTAACCTTAAATGTAAATGGGCTAAATGCCCCAGTTAAAAGACACAGACTGGCAAATTGGATAGTCAAGACCCATCAGTGTGCTGTATTCAGGAGACCCATCTGACGTGCAGAGACACACACAGGCTCAAAATAAAGGGATGGAGGAAGATCTACCAAGCAAATGGAAAGCAAAAAAAAGCAGGGTTTGCAATCCTAGTCTCTGATAAAACAGACTTTAAACCAACAAAGATCAAATGAGACGAAGAAGGCCATTACATAATGGTAAAGGGATCAATTCAACAAGAAGAGCTAACTATCCTAAATATCTATGCATGCAATACAGGAGCACCCACATTCATAAAGCAAGTCCTTAAAGACCTACAAAGAGACTTAGACTCCCACACAATAATAATGGGAGACTTTAACACCCCACTGTCAATATTAGACAGATCAACGAGACAGAAGGTTAACAACGATATCCAGGACTTGAACTCAGCTCTGCACCAAGCTGACCTAATAGACATCCACAGAACTCTCCACCCCAAATCAACAGAATATACATTCTTCTCAGCACCACATTGCACTTATTCAAAAATTGACCACATAGTTGGAAGTAAAGCACTCCTCAGCAAATATAAAAGAACAGAAATCACAACAAACTGTCAGACCACAGTGCAATCAAATTTGAACTCTGGATTAAGAAACTCACTCGAAACCACACAACTACATGGAAACAGAACAACTTGCTCCTGAATGACTACTGGGTAAATAACAAAATGAAGGCAGAAATAAAGATATTCTTTGAAACCAACGAGAACAAAGGCACAATGTACCAGAATCTCTGGGACACATTTAAAGCAGTGTGTAGAGGGAAATTTATAGCACTAAATGCCCACAAGAGAGAGCAGGAAAGATCTAAAATCAACACCCTAACATCACAATTAAAAGAACTAGAGAAGCAAGAGCAAACAAATTCAAAAGCTAGCAGAAGGCAAGAAATAACTAAGATCAGAGCAGAACTGAAGGAGACAGAGACACAAAAACCCTTCAAAAAATCAATGAATCCAGAAGCTGGTTTTTAGAAAAGATCAACAAAATTGATAGACCGCTAGTAAGACTAATAAAGAAGAAAAGAGAGAAGAATCAAATAGATGCAATAAAAATGATAAAGGGGATATCACCACCAATCCCACAGAAATACAAACTACCATTGGAGAATACTATAAACACCTCTACGCAAATAAACTAGAAAATCTAGAAGAAATGGATAAATTCCTGGACACATACACCCTCCCAAGACTAAACTAGGAAGAAGTTCAGTCTCTGAATAGACAAATAACAGGCTCTGAAAGTGAGGCAATAATTAATAGCCTATCAACCAAAAAAAGTCCAGGACCAGATGGATTCACAGCTGAATTCTACCAGAGGTACAAAGAGGAGGTGGTACCATTCCTTCTGAAACTATTCCAATCAATAGAAAAAGAGGGAATCCTCCCTAACTCATTTTATGAGGCCAGCATCATCCTGATACCAAAGCCTGGCAGAGACACAACAAAAAAAGAGAATTTTAGACCCATATCCCTGATGAACATCGATGCGAAAATCCTCAATAAAATACTGGCAAACCAAATCCAGCAGCACATCATAAAGCTTATCCACCACGATCAAGTTGGCTTCATCCCTGGGATGCAAGGCTGGTTCAACATATGCAAATCAATAAATGTAATCCATCACATAAACAAAACAAACAACAAAAACCACACGATTTTCCCAACAGATGCAGAAAAGCCTTCCACAAAATTCAACATCCCTTCATACTAAAAACTCTCAATAAACTAGGTATTGATGGGACATATCTCAAAATAATAAGAGCTATTTATGACAAACCCACAGCCAATATCATACTGAACGGGCAAAAACTGGGAGCATTCCCTTTGAAAACTGGCACAAGACAAGGATGCCCTCTCTCACCACTCCTATTCAACATAGTGTTGGAAGTTCTGTCCAGGGCAATCAGGCAAGAGAAAGAAATAAAGGGTATTCAAATAGGAAAAGAGGAAGTCAAATTGTCTCTGTTTGCAGACGACATGACTGTATAATTAGAAAACCCCATCCTCTCAGCCCAAAATCTCCTTAAGCTGATAAGCAACTTCAGCAAAGTCTCAGGATATAAAATCAATGTGCAAATATCACAAGCATTCCTATACACCAATAACAGACAAATGGCAAAATCATGAGTGAATTCCCATTCACAATTGCTACAAAGAGAATAAAATTCCCAGGAATCCAACTTACAAGGGATGTGAAGGACCTCTTCAAGGAGAACTACAAGCCACAGCTCAACGAAATAAAGGAGGACACAAACAAATGGAAAAACATTCCATGCTCATGGATAGGAAGAATCAATATCGTGAAAATGGCCACACTGCCCAAGGTAATTTATGGATTCAAGGCTATCTTCATCAAGCTACCAATGACTTTCTTCACAGAATTGGAAAAAACTACTTTAAAGTTGATATGGAACCAAAAAAGAGCCTGCATTGCCAAGACAATCCTAAGCAAAAAGAACAAAGCTGGAGGCATCACACTACCTGACTTCAAACTACACTACAAGGCTATGGTAGCCAAAACAGCATGGTACTAGTAGCAAAACAGAGATATAGACCAATGGAACACAACAGAGGCCTCAGAAATAACACCACACATCTACAACCATCTGAACTTTGACAAACCTGACAAAAACAAGAAATGGGGAAAGGGTTCCCTATTTAATAAATGGTGCTGGGAAAACTGACTAGCCATATGTAGAAAGCTGAAACTGGATCCCTTCCTCACACTTTATACAAAAATTTATTCAAGATGGATTAAAAACTTAAATGTTAGACCTAAAACCATAAAAACCCTAGAAGAAAACCTAGGCAATACCATTCAGGACATAGTCATGGGCAAGGACTTCATGACTAAAACACCAAAAGCAATGGCAACAAAAGCCAAAATAGACAAATGGGATCTAATTAAACTAAAGACCTTCTGCACAGCAAAAGAAACTACCATCCGAGTGAACAGGCAACCTACAGAATGGGAGAAAATTTTTGCAATTTACCCATCTGACAGAGGGCTAATATCCAGAATCTACAAAGAACTTACACAAACTTACAAAAAAAAAAATCCCATCAAAAAGTGGGCAAAGGATATGAACAGACACTTCTCAAAAGAAGACATTTATGCAGCCAACAGACACATGAAAAAATGCTCATCATCACTGGTCATCAGAGAAATGCAAATCAAAACCACAATGAGATACCATCTCACACCAGTTAGAATGGCAATCATTAAAAAGTCAGGAAGCAACAGATGCTGTAGAGGATGTGGAGAAATAGGAACACTTTTACACTGTTGGTGGGAGTGTAAACTAGTTCAACCATTGTGGAAGACAGTGTGGCGATTCCTCAAGGATCTAGAACTAGAAATACCATTTGACCCAGTGATCCCATTACTGGGTATATACCCAAAGGATTATAAATCATGCTACTATAAAGACACATGCACATGTATGTTTACTGAGGCACTATTCACAATAGCAAAGACTTGGAACCAACCCAAATGTCCAACAATGATAGACTGGATTAAGAAAATGTGACACATATACACCATGGAATACTAAGCAGCCATAAAAAAGGATGAGTTCATGTCCTTTGCAGGGACATGGATAAAGCTGGAAACCATCATTCTGAGCAAACTATCACAAGGACAGAAAACCAAACACCACACGTTCTCACTCATAGGTGGGAATTGAACAATGAGAACACATGGACACAAGAAGGGGAACATCACACACCAGGGCCTGTTGTGGGGTGGCGGGTTGGGGGAGGGATAGCATTAGGAGAAATACCTAATGTAAATGATGAGTTAATGGGTGCAGCAAACCAACATGGCACATGTGTACCTATGTAACAAACCTGCACATTGTACACATGTACCCTAGAACTTAAAGTATAATTTAAAAAAAAAAAGAGCAATAATTTTTTAAAAGAAAAAAGTGCTCAGTGGGCAGCTTTTGAAAGAAAGTCTAAAAGAGAGTTCCCCACCTCCTGTGCATTAAGTTTATCTACATACTTACCTGTTCTCTTTAATAACTGTAGTTTTTGCTGGTGTTTAAATATTCTAAGAACTACATCTCCCAGCATGTGTGGCAGAGTGGTGGCCTCTGTGCACCATCTGCACCCGTCAGAGGCGACAATGCAGTGGGCTGTGAGCACGGTGGCCAATCGGGGTTTTCTCCTGCAGGCATTCCCTCCTGCCTTGTGTCATCTGCTTAGTTGTGCACAGACCGAGATACGTGGTGGTGACCCGGTGAAGCTGATGCAGAGTCTAGTGGTTGGAGACACTGCAGAGCTGAGGCCAAACCAGAGGACACTGTTGCTGTTTACCAATGAGGCTGGAGGCACCTTAGATGACTTGATTGTGACCAGCACTTCTGAGGGGCACCTACATGTGATGTCCAACACTGGCTGCTGGGAAAAAGACTTGGCCTTCATGCAGGACAAGGTCAGAGAACTTTAGAGGCAGGGCAGAGATGTGGGCCTGGAGGTAGTGGATACTGCCCTGCTAGCCCTGAAAGGGCCCCCTGTGGCCCAGGTGCTACAGGCCAGCACGGCAGCTGACCTGAGGAAACTGCCTTCATGACTAGTGCTGTGATGGAGGTGTTTGACGTGTCTGGCCGCCACCTTACACACTGTGGCTGCACAGGAGAGAATGGTGTGGACATCTTGGTGCCAGCAGCGGGGGCAGTTCACCCCGCATCAGCTCTTCTGGAAAACCCAGAGGCAAAGCTGGCAGTGCTGGCAGCTTGCGCCTGGAGGCAGGCCTCCGGCTGTACAGGAGTGACACTGATGAACACACTACCCCTGTGGAGGGCAGCCTCAGTTGGACATTGGGGAAGTGCCACTGAGCTGCTCTCGACTTCCCTGGAGCCAAGGTCATTGTTCCCCAGCTGAAGGGAAAGTGCAGTGGAGGCGTGTGGGGTTGATGTGTGAGGGGGCCCTGATGCAGGCACACAGTCCCACCTGAGCATGGAGGGCCCATGATTGGTACTGTGACCAGTGGCTGTCCCTTGCCCTACCTGAAGAAGACTGTGGCAATGAGTTACATGCCCTGCCAGTAGTCAGCCAGGGATAATGCTGCTGGTAGAGGTGCGGCAGAAGCAGCAGATGGGCGCAGTCAGCAAGATGCCCTTTGCGCCCATGAACTGCTCTACCCTCATGTGAGGATGGCTCAGGGCAGGACCATCCCCTCCAGAAGTCTTGCCCTAGAGGGCATTCTACAAGGGCTTAGGCAGGAAGCTGAGGCAGAACTCACTGGGGGTGGGCAGCTAAGGGGCAGGTTGGTTTTAGTTGTCTGGTTAAGGGGGCCATACCACCTACTCTCTCCACCCAACCCATGGCCACTCCAGCTCCAGGACCCTGTTTCTGAGCGACAGACCAGCCATTCAATGTCTTCTTTCGGTCCATGATCCCACTGACCCACTCTAGCCTGATGGAGGGAAATGAGCAGCTCTGGTTCTGCTATCTCTCCCACTCTGCCAGGTGCTGGCTGTGGCACAAAGGCTCGCCTTTGTGGGGAGGATAAAACCTGCCCAACCTGCCTCACCTTGGTTATTCGCATTGCAAGGAGTCATTACCATGGGCAATATGGGCTCAGGCCACTCCTTCCAGTTTGCTTTCCATAAATGCAAACTGTCCCTACCGTGAGTCAGGAATGACTCCTGACTCACAGTGGGGCTGCTGTAAACTTGGGGATGGTTGAGGGAACACAGACACAGTCTTCCATGCTCCCCAGGTGGTCCAGCCTGCTGCCCAGAAGCAAACCATGGCAGGCTCACCACCGGTTCTATGCCGCAGGGCTGTTGTAGGACAGGCTGGGCTTTCTCCTGGACTCACCTTACCCTGGGCTGACCTTTGCCCCTGGTATCCAATAATGGCCTCCACTAAATCCTGAAAAAAAAATTAAACACACTTCCTTCTTAAAAATAAATATTCTAAAAGTTCTGAGGAAATTATTATTATTATTATTTTGAGACAGGGTCTCACTGTCACCCAGGCTGGAGTGCAGCAGCACGATCATGGCTCACTGCAGCCTCCACCTCCCAGGCTCAAATGATCCTCCCGCCTCAGCCCTGAAAGTAGCTGGGACTACAGGCATGCACCACCACACCTGGCTAATTTTTGTATTTTTTATAGAGATGGGGGCTCATCATGTTGTCCAGGTTGGTCTTGAATTCCTGGGCTCAAGTGATCCTCCTGCCTCTGCTTCCCAAAGTGCTGGGACTATAGGCATGAGCCACCACACCCAGCCAGAAAGTTATTTTTAACTCAGGTTTATTTACAAAGAAAATGTATGACAGACCTTATGTAGTTCTGGGCCGCGAAGCTGCCTCAATGAACTCTCCATCTATTGAGCTTATGGTAAATGTTCCACCATCTTACTGGAATCCACACTAACGGCCAAAGAATATGTAGACTCGAAAGTATGTATGCTTTTTTTTTTTTTTTTTTGAGACAGAGTTTCACTCTTGTTACCCAGGCTGGAGTGCAATGGCACGATCTCGGCTCACCGCAACCTCCGCCTCCCGGGTTCAAGCGATTCTCGTGCTTCCGCCTCTCAAATAGCTGAGATTATAGGCATGCACCACCACGCCCGGCTAATTTTGTATTTTTAGTAGAGACAGGGTTTCTCCATGTTGGTCAGGCTGGTCTCGAACTCCCGACCTCAGGTGATCCGCCTGCCTCGGCCTCCCAAAGTGCTGGGATTACAGGCGTGAGCCACCGCACCCAGCAAAAGTATGTATGCTTTACAAAATATTACACTTACATTAACACACCTGATTCTATCCTGAAGTAGAGCCAAAAGTCTCTGTAATCTGTTTAATAGATTCAAAATAGTAGGGAGAAAATCTGAGCAAATCATCGTACTGTTTTGTTGTCCTCCCTCCCAAACAATGCAGCAGCTGAGTGGTGGCTGGATTGCCAGATTCTGGGGGTGCTGGTTTGCCCAGTATTTTCATAGTTGAGTGCAGATACTCCCATGCCCTGGCAAACCAGGAGGTTTGCTCACCCTAGCTGGGGGATAAGCAGGCCTTACGTGCCCACCTAGGAAGGTCTGAGTTTATCAGTACAGTAGCATCATGAACAAACAGCCACCAGGTACAGCTTCCTAGAAGCCTCTTTCCTCAGAGAAGAAAAGACAAGATAATCATCCCCCTTAAAATGGCAGATTTGCCACTGGATCCAGTTGCCTTGTGTTTTCCTCATCACTCACACTGTGGTGGGTGTCAGCTGGAGTTCCAGGCCCTCCAGACCAGGGTTGAGGGTTTTTTCACCTTGTACCCCAAGGAGGCAAAATAGAGTAACAGTCAAGAGTGGAGGCTGCGACTCCTGACCACCTACGGTCAAATCGCTGCTCTGCGCCTTCCTTAGGAGTGGTGGCTTTATAATTGTCAACTTGGCTAGACTGAACTACATGTCCCACAGTTCTTCTGCCTGCATGGCTCTGGTTAGGGTGGGCCACCAGAGACATTCTTCAATCAAGACCCTCTGCATCTGTAAATTTATTAAGTCTGAAAACTGGGTAAAAGGCTGTGACTTTTTACTATGATGATGCAAGCTACATTTTTGACTACCCATCCATTTTGTTCCTAGGAACACTATGATCAATTACCACCACAGATCTTTGTGAGCTAAGGCAACTGGTTAGCACTATGTTCCTGCTGCCCTGTATTGTAAATATGTCCACGCTTCTTGTCTTTGGTGGTTAAATGCAGTCACTTTGACTCTGCCTCTCTGGGATTCCATCATCCCCATTGAAATCTGGAAGCCTCTCTCAATGGTCGCATTCTTTACAGCCACACGTAGCCTGCAAAGGAGACACCCACAGAGCTTTTCCAGTCTGCTGGTGCCTTAGTGCAGGGAGTTGTCTCCTGACTCTTTTCCTGGAACATGCTGGGGGCTGGGCATGCAGTTTGCACATGGTAAATCCAGTCCCATTTGCCTATCGCCCTAAGCCTTTGGAGTCTCTCTTCCATATTGTGACAGGAAAGCTGTCTAGTTAAAGTGCGCTCATAGGAATGAAGTTAGCCTGCTCTAGTGTTCTATCCCACTATTCTCATTCGAACATCTTTAGGATGTACTTCCACACATGTTCCCCAGGTCTCTGAAGATACACATTAGAAAAGTGTGGCAATTCTTTTGGCGTATAAACTATTTCTTGCTGGGTCATGGTGGATCCCTGTCCTACTGGAACTTGCTGAGCTTTGGCAATAATCATGAGTCTAGTGGCAACAAGGGGTGGTTGTGGTAGATTTAGAGAATGAGTAACTCCTTTTAAGGCATCTGTCCCCAGATGAGCTTAACACAGATATTTAAGCAGAGGAAGGCTAGTCTTCTACCAAGAGCAAGCTACTTCCACAGGAGAGGGAAGCTCAAAACTATACATTCAACTATTGTTGTAAGTCAGCAACCCACACCCTTAAATTTTATGTTTAATTTTTTAGCAATATCAGCCCTCTGGCTGTGAGCAATAAAAGATTCTTTTAGGGCTATCCTCAAAGCTCTGTCGTCCTCTAACAATGACTTGAGCTCAGAGTTAAAGGATTTGGGTTTGTCATTTTTCTGTTACTACTCAAGTATGCTCAGAAAAATCTGTCCCACAGTACATTCCTTACAGGCATCATGTACTGCCGTAACAGTTAGTTGCAACTGCCATTTGGGCTCCTAAGACACTTGCTTTGGTTACAACTTCATTACAATTAGCCACAAGTGCTAGCTTGATGTGTGATGTCCCTGCATGCCACAGGTCACTAGCTTCCCATTTCCCATTGCTAAGGAGTTCAGCACTGTGCTGAACTCCAAGGACAGGGTCAGCCCTCAAATCCCACCTCCGCAGGTCTATCTCCTAGGACTACTCCCAGCACCATTTTGTGGCAGTTGGATTCTGTACTAGTCCAGAATCGGAGTGTAATTTGAACAGGGAAAGTTTAATAAATAGTATTAACTAGAGGAGGGGAATAACTAAAAGGGGTAAGCAGAATGCTAAAGAGTACTCTAGAGCTGAGAAAAATACTTGAGGAAGAAGCAAACTTGGAAGGGATTCCTCTGGTCAAGCTGGAATTCAAGCTCTGCTGGAGAAGGTGTGGCTGCAGTCCACTGGAGGGTGGACAAGTTTGCTGGGTTGATCCAGGCCAGAGCCAGTCTAAGTCACTGGACAGGCAGGTAATATTCTTCTAGGGAGCAGGGGGACGGAGGCTGGCCAGAAAACCACAGTTAGGACTACCAAGTGGGAAACATGTCTCTGGGATGCACGTGAGAAGGTTGGCAAACCACTCCGAGGTGTAGGAGAGGGCTGAGGCTAGTGGATGGACCTGTGCAGGGATTGAGGGCATCAAGAACCCCTTTACTGACTGCTTGTCATGAAGCCTGGTGTTAGGAGGGCTGCATGCAGCCAGGTGGTCACAGAACTGGAGCTGGTGGCTTGCCAAGGGACTGTGCCCTCTCTGTGCACACTGGTATGTTAGTTTGCTAGGTCTCCCACAACAAAATACCACAGACTGGGGGGCTTCAACAACAGAAATGTATTTCCTCACAATCTGCAGCTAGAAGTCCAAGATCAAGGTGTTGGCAGGGCTGGTTACTTCTAGGGGCATCTTTCCTTGGCTTGTCTTCCACCAGTGCCTTCACATGTTTCCTTTTGTGGGAGTCTGTGTCCTCAACTCCTCTTCTTGTAAGGACACCAGGCATATCAAATTAGGGCCCACACTAGTAATCTCATTTAACCTTAATAACCTCTTTAAAGACCCTATCTCCAAATACAGTCACATTCTGAGGTATTGCAGGTTAGGATGTCAACATGAATTTGGGGGGACACAATTTAGCCTGCAATAGTTGGGGAGGAGCATTACTGGATGTCCCTGCCATATGTTGCTTACAGCCAGGAGCAGAAGCAAGAAGCAAATGGAAACACGCCCGACCAGGAAGAAGCCCTTTCCTCCTGCAGGGTCCCTCCAGCGCCCTCTACTGAAAAAGTCTGACATCCCACTCACTGCAAAGGAGAAAAGTCTACAGGATTCAACTCCACTATTGCAGAGTAGATAATGAAGGACGGATTTAGAGCTGAGAGGCAATAAATTAATAACAAGCACACTGGTTCTTCAGCTTTCCCAGCATTTCTGTGAGTTTTCTAATGTCCTCCAGAGAAAATGTGTGCCTAAACTGACCGGTTTACAACTGAGAACACTGGCAAATTTGCAGTTTCCCACTTTTTTTTTTTTTTTTGACAGTAGTTATGCATTATGGTACCTTCAAGTTCTCATTTTGGGAGGGATAAACGAATTTTCCCTGGAATTTTACTATTATGATAAGTATAAATTAAAATTATCTCCATTTAACGTGGCATGGTAATGGGCTATGGAAGCAAGAGCAGAAATCTAGCTTTCCTGTTGTTCCTTGTATCTGCCTGGTTCATCCCTGTTTCAAGGCTGATACACTTGCTTTTCCTTCTTCCTGGAACTCTCTTCCGTCAGGTATTCACATAGCTCCATCACATCAATTAAACCTCTGTTCAACTGTCACTTGGAAATCCTTCCTTAGTACTCTATCAAAAATAGCCTCCTTTCCCCATAACTCTCTTTCACCAGGCTTTAGTTTTCTTTATAACAACTTACCACTACATTATATTATTTAAAGTAGCCTATGCACTTATTTACCTACAGAGTTACTCACTTATTAAAATGCAAGTTCTAGGAGGGTAGGGATATGTCTTGTTCACTGAGGTATCCTCAGAACCTAGAATAGTGTATGGCATATAATAGGTACTTGATAAATATTGATTAAGTGAAGGGCTGTAGGTTTCAGAAAAGAGTTGGTTTTTCCAGAACACAACTCCATATGCAGGCATATCTACAGCAATGAAAATTTAGCCCCTAACTTAATTAGGATGGCAACAATATAATTCTGATTATTCTCACCCTAACTTGGTAAAAATGACTTTTGTTCACTTTTTAAAAATTGTGGTATAGTTAGCATACAGTAAAATTCACCTTTTGTGTGTGGGTACAATCCTAAGAGTTTTGGCAAATGCCTATAACTATGTCAAACCATTGCAATCAAGATATAGAACAGTTCCATCATCCTCCGAAATCTCCTCCTTCCCTTTTGTAGTCAGATACTCCTCTGACCTCCAGTCCCTGGCAGCCACTGGTCTGTTTTCTGTACTTACAGTTTTGCTTTTTTCAGATTATCACACAAATGGAATCATGTAGTATATAGTTTTTTGGGTTTGCCTTCCTTCACCTAGCATAATGCATTTGAGATTCATGCATTTTGCTACATATATCAGTTGTCTGTTCCTCTTTATTGTCGTATAGTATTTCATTATATATGTACCGTAGTTTGTTTATTCTTTCACCAGCTGAAGGACATTAAAGCTTTTTTTTTTTCCAATTTGGGATTATAATGAATCAAGCTATTATTAACATTCATGGACAGGTTTTTATGTGAACGTAAGTTTTCTTTCCTCATGGGTAAATACCTAGGAGTGATTTTGCTGGGTCTTATACTCAGTGCATAGTCAATGATAAGAAATTGCCAAACCAGGCCGGGTGCGGTGGCTCATGGCTGTAATCTCAGCACTTTGGGAGGCCGAGGTGGGCAAATCACTTGAGGAGTTTGGGGTGGGTGGTCCCAGCTACTTGGGAGGCTGAGGCAGAAGAATCGCTTGAACCTGGGAGGTTGGGAGGTGGAGGTTGCAGTGAGCTGAGATCACGCCACTGCATTCAAGCCTGGGTGACAGAGCAAGACTCTGACTTAAAAAAAAAAAAAAAAAAAAAGAAATTGCCAAACTGTTTTCCAAAGTGACAAAACCATTTTGCATTTCTACCAGCAATGTATAAGAGTTCCAGTTACTCTACATCTTCACTACCACTTGCTATAATATGGGATGGCTGTGGACTATGGAAACAAGACTAGAAATCTGGCCTTCTTGTTACCCGAATCTGCTTCATTCATCCCCATGTCAAGGCTTATGCACTTGCTGTTCCAACTTCTTGAAAAACGTTCATGTGTGTAACTTCCATTCACATTTTATTTTAAAGCAGAGCCTATCTATGCACACATAAAGACCAGCTAAAAACAGAATGAAGAAAATCAGAAACATGAATACATGAATGAGAAAAAATTATAAAATTGTATCCCTTTCCTTACATTCTTCCATGTTTCAGAGATCTTAACAATTTTCAATTAGTAATTAATTGATCTGTGCTAAAAACTTTTTGATTTGTAACATGTTTTTAAGTGGATTTGTTTAAAATACTCAGTGTGTATTTTGGCCAGGCACGGTGGTTCATGCCTGTAATCCCAGCACTTTGGGAGGCCGAGGAAGGCAGGTTTCCTGAGGTCAGAAGTTCGAGACCAGCCTGGCCAACATGGTGAAACCCTGCCTCTACTAAAAATAAAAAATTAGCCAGGCATGGTTGCATGCGCCTGTAATCCCAGATACTTGGGAGGCTGAGACACGAGAATCGCTTGAACCCTGGAGGCAGAGGTTGCAGTGAGCTGAGATCATGCCACTGCACTCCAGCCTGGGTGACAGTGAGACTCTGTCTCAAAAATAAAATAAAATAAAATAAAATATTTAGTGTGTATTTTTAGCAGTATTTAAAAAATATTGATCAGAGCCATAAACTTCCTGCAGATTCTAAAGTGTTAAAATGTCTTTAACACTTTCCTCTCTTCAAGGAAATGATGTAAACTGAAAGCAATTTATGTTTATGAGGCATTCCTGCAATGGGACATGACCTCTGATCCCAATAATTCTTTCCCAGATGCTGTGTTGACATTTCTACTGCTTAAGTATAAAGCAAGTAAAAGCCATGATTATTTCAGTTTGTTACTATGCCAATGCTGCCTAAGAAAAAAATTACTAACTTGAATTTTCAAGATTGTTGAAGAGTTTTAAACGAGATAAACAAATATAAATCTAGTTAACATTTGCATGCATTACTTTCCATTTCTTTACATGAATTTATACTTCGTTAATGGGTAGGATATCCCTAGATATATATATATATATTTTAAATATTTTTTTTTTTGAGACAGAGTCTTGCTCTGTCCCCTAGGCTGAAATGCAGTGGCGTGATCTTGGCTCACTGCAACCTCTGTCTCCTGGGTTCAAGCGATTCTCCTGCCTCAGCCTCCCAAGTAGCTGGGATTATAGGCACCTGCCATAATGCCAGGCTGTTTTGTATTTTTAGGACACGGGGTTTCACCATGTTGGCCAGGCTGGTCTTGACCTCCTGACCTCAGGTGATCCACCAGCCTCGGCCTCCCAAAGTGCTGGGATTACAGGCCTGAGCCACTGTGCCTGGCCTTATTTTTTATTTTTTTGACACAGGTCTGAGCCACTGTAGCCAGTGGGATATCCCTTTTAAAATTCATCTATAATTTTTACAAATTCTCCACTTTTTGTCCCCACCTTTCCCCCACCCCTCTAAACTAACACCATTTAAAAAACTCAGGCTTAGAAACTGAATGTTAAAATTGTTCTCCTGAAATAGAATCTGAAAAATCAGCTTCCTCTTTTTTTTTTTTTTTTTGAGATGGAGTCTCACTCTGTCACCCCGGCTGGAGTTCAGTGGCGCCATCTCGGCTCACTGCAAGCTCTGCCTCCCGGGTTCATGCCATTCTCCTGCCTCAGCCTCCCGAGTAGCTGGGACTACAGGAGACTGCCACCACGCCCGGCTAATTTTTGTATTTTTACTAGAGACGGGGTTTCATCATGTTAGCCAGGATGGTCTCGATCTCCTGACCTCGTGATCCGCCCGCCTCAGCCTCCCAAAGTGCTGAGATTACAGGCGTGAGCCACCGTGCCCGGCCTCAGCTTCCTCTTAAGTGAACAGTTCCTCATAGATGGTTTCTGGAAAGATAAATCCTTTGGAGAAGAAAAAGAGTGCTAAAAATGCCTGAAGGCAATGAATCACATACTGTGCTGTTAAAAGCTTTATATACGTGATTCATTCTACAAATATTTTTTAAGAATTTACTATGTGCTAGGCAGTATTCCAGACACTGGAAATAAAGTATGATGATTCAAACAGAAAATATCTGTGCCCTCATGAAGTTAGGTTCTTGTTAGTGAGGACACACAACAAAGAAAATAAGTAAAACAAATTACAGTCATGTGCTACACAGCAATGTTATAGTCAATGATGGACCACATATAGGACAATGGTTCCATAAGATTATATTGTATTTTCACTGTACCTTTTCTGTGTTTCTTTCTTTTTTTTTTTTTTTAGACAAGTTCTCACTCTGTTGCCCAAACTGGAGTGCAGTGGCGCGATCACTGCAGCCTCTACCTCTTGTGTTCAAGTAATCCTCCCACTTCAGCCTCCCAAGTAGCTGGGACTACAGCTATGTGCCACCACACCCGGCTAATTTTTGTATTTTTTGTAGAGATGGGGTTTAGTCATGTTGCCTGGGCTGGTCTTGAACTTCTGGGTTCAAGTGATCCTCCTGCCCTGGCCTCCCAAAGTGGTGGGATTACAGGTGTGAGCCACCACACCTAGCCCTTTTCTGTGTTTAAATATGTTTAGATTCACAAATACTTACCATTGTGTTACAATTACCTACAGCATGAAGTACAGTATGCTACGCAGGTTTGTAGCCTAGGGGCAATAGACTATATACCACATAGCCTAGGTGTGTAGTAGGCTAGACAATCTAGGTTTGTGTACATGAACTCTATAATGTCTGCACAGGGATGAAATTGGCTAATGATGCATTTCTCAGAAAGTATCTCCATCTGTAAGTGACATATGACTGTATATCATATGTTTTAATATGGAGAAAAAGCAGTGAGAGAGAAAAAGAAGTTTGTGTAATGGTGTGTGTTAAGTCTTAGAAAATGAAGACAATGGTTTCACTGAATCGGTGACTTTTGGGCAAATACTGAAGGAGGTGAGGAAGTATCCATGGCAACATCTAGGAAAGCATTCCAGGAACCCCAACGAGGCCAGAAGGCTGCAGCGGCAGAAGGCCTGCAGCAGCACTGGCGAGGGAGGGAGTGGAAGAAGAGCCAGAAGGCAGCAGGAGCCCGCTCACTGAGGGTCCTTCAGCCATGCTAAGGACTTTGGCTTTACACTGGGAGAAATGGGGAGGTATGGGGAGGTTCTGAGTTAGAGGAATGACATACGCTGGCTTTGGTTGTAGCAGGATCGGCCTGGCTGCTATGGTGAGGACACATGAAAGGGGGCAAGGGAGAAGGAGGGAGACCAGTGAGGAGGCTAATGTGTTAATCCAGCGGGGAGAAGATAGGGACTTGGGCCAGGGTGGCAGCTGTGGAGGTGGTAGGAAAAGATTAGATTCTGCATGTATTTTGAAGGTAGAACCAATATGCTTTTCTAATGTCTTGAATATGGAATGTGGGAAAAAGGAGTCATGGTTGATTCCAAGGTTTTGGTCAGAGCAAAAGGAAAAGGAGATGCCATTAATGAGATGGCAAGAAGGGTGGGAGGAGGAGGTTTGAGGCTGAGATCAGGAGTTCAGTTTTGAACATATTGAACTGGAGGTGCCTATTTGGCATTCATGTTGAAATATCAAGTAGGCAGTTCAATATTCAATTCTGCCAAGTGCAAGTTCAAAAGGGAAGTTTAGGCTGGAGGTACACATTTGGGAATAATCAGTATACAGATGACATTTAAAGTCAGGAGTTTAGATGAGATCATTTTCTCATGCAATTCTTAAAACACCAGCATGAGGTAGATATTATTTTAATTCCCATTTTAGATATAAAGAGATAGGCTGGAGAGGTTTAAATAGTTCACTCTAAGTCATTCAGTTAGTAACTGTAGGGACTCCAATGTTCATTCTTATCTCTAAGAGATAGTTTTCAACTTGGGCTCTGTGACAATCCTAAAAGAAAGGAAGGTTCAGTTTAAGGGGACTGTCTCTGATTTCCATCTGTACGTATTTGTTGGGGTTTTATGTACGATTTTATTTGAAAAAAAAAAAAAAAAAAAAAGTATTTATGCTGAGTGAGGTTGACTCACGTCTCTAATCCCAGCAACTTGGGAGGCTGAGACAGGAGGACTGCTTGAGCCTAGGAGTTCAAGACCAGCCTGGGCAACAAAGCAAGACCCTGTCTCTACAAAAAGAAAGAAAGAAAGAGAGAGAGGCCAGGTGCAGTGGCTCATGCCTGTAATCCCAGCACTTTGGGAGGCCAAGGTGGGCAGATCACTTGAGGTCAGGAGGTGGAGACCAGACTGGCCAACATGGTGAAACCCCGTCTCTACTAAAAATACAAAAATTAGCCAGGCATGGTGGCACGTGCCTGTAATCCCAGCTACTGATTCTGAGCTTTTTGAAGATAGAAACTCTAATTAATCTCTGTGTTTGCAGCAACTAGCCTGTGCCTGCACACAGATGTTCAACAAATGTTTGGACTGTCTGAATAATACATATTAATTGGAACAACTATAAAAATGTTAAATGTTACCTTCTCCATGGAAGAGATAGTTCAGTATAAAGCATGAAATCCAAAATCCCATCACAATTAATAACACGATAATCTTGTAAAATGAGAGCACAAGTCTGTCAGATATCAGATCTTGGGGATATAATCAATGAATGAGGCAGCGTACATCAACAACAACAATAACCAAATGGGCAAAGACATGAAGGCAACTCACACAGAAGAAATAAAAATGCTCTATAAACACTTTGAAAAAGATCAACTACTTTAGTAATCACAGAGTTGTGAGTGAAACCACATATTGTTCTTGCCTATGTGTCAAAGTTTTAAAAATAGTATCCTTTCATATTGGCCAAGGTCTGAGAAAGAGGCTCTCATGCACTGCTATTAGCAATGTGTAGCTTTCTGTAGGGTAATTTGAGAAAATGAATCCAAATCCTTTAAAATGTGCCTACCACCATACTCCACCCTCCATACCTACCCTCCAATCCCTGGAAATGTACATGCACATACAAAGACATTCTGCTTCTAGGATTTTTCCTACAGAAATATTCACAGATATGCCCAATGATACAAATCTATTCATGGCCGTACTGCTTGTGAGAAGGAAAAAATGTAAATATTAAAATCCATGATAGGATTAATTAAATTGCAGTACATACATATGATAAAAACCCATGCAGCCAAAAAACATCAATATATTGAAAGAAGCATTAATGACATGGGAAAATATTAAGTGAAAAAAGTAGATTTTACAAAAGAAGTATAGTATAACCTCTGCCTCCCAGGTTCAAGCAATTCTCATGCCTCCCTCACCCTCCTGAGTAGCTGGGATTGATTATAGGTGTGTGCTACCAAGCCTGGCTAATTTTTTTTGTATTTTTAGTAGAGATGGGGTTTCACCATGTTGGCCAGGCTGGTCTCGAACTCCTGACCTCAAGTGATCCACCTGCCTTGGCCTCCCAAAGTGCTGGGATTACAGGCATGAGCCACCATTCCTGGCCTGATTAATTTCTAAAGTTAAAAATTAGTTACTGTATGCCAGCACCTATATTAAATGTGTTGCATAGTCTCTAAATTATACATTAACCCTAAGAAATAGGTGTTACCATTGATACAGGGCAAATGAGCCCCAAAGTGGAGCTTAGTCCACGAGGGTTCTTGGCTTTGCCCAGGAAAGAAGGGCAAAGGGCAAGCCAGAGATAGAATAAAACAGCTTTATCGAAAAGGCAGTGTTACGCTCCAGTGTTGTTAAGAGTTGTGACTGCTCCTACAGAGCAAGGCCACCTGGTGGGCAGACAGCAGCATTACTTATATTCTTATATAGTTTTGATGATATGTACATGAAAATGTTTTTGTAACGTTACCTCACATAGTCAACTTTTTATGTTGTTGAACAGCATTAATAATTTCTTTTTCTTTTTTTTTTTTTGAGACAGCGTCTTGGTCTGTCACCCAGGCTGGAGTTCAGTGGCGCGATCTCAGCTCACTGCAAGCTCCACCTCCCAGGTTCACGCCATTCTCCTGCCTCAGACTCCCAAGTAGCTGGGACTACAGGCGCCCGCCACCATGCCTGGCTATTTTTTTGTATTTTTAGTAGAGACGGGGTTTCGCAGTGTTAGCCAGGATGGTCTCGATCTCCTGACCTCGTGATCCGCCCGCCTCGGCCTCCCAAAGTGCTAGGATTACAGGTGTGAGCCACCGTGACTGGCCAGCATTAATAATTTCTAATGGTTGCACCTAACACCAGGTCTGACAAGTAACTCTAATGTTAGTTCACCCGATGTACAAAAATTACAAATGTTTACTGAGTGCTTACAGTGTGGTATACTGGGGACATTTCAATGAATAAGACAAACAAGGTCCCACTGATCATGAAATCTCCATTCTCGCAAGGGAAGACAGAGAATTTTTAAATCCATGAGAAAGGTATTAGGATTATACCTATTTGAGTATTTGAGCCACCGAGAGGTCAGGGAACTTTCCCAAGAGCAACCAACTGGTAGGCAGGTGTTACAGCAGATTCCAACCCTGGCAAGCTGTCGTCATGATAGCGTTCTTAGTTCCTGCTCCACTGGCACCCAGAGGGTGGAGGGTGTACTTTCAGTTGGAGGAAACATTAGGGTGAGGCCAGATTATAAAAATCAGGTAGAGGCATTAAACAATTTAGCAAAGAAATCCGGGAAGAGGGAGAGGCAGCCCTTGTGATATGGTATATTGGGGATATTTCAATGAATAAGACAAACAAGGTCCCACTTACCATGAAATCTCCATTCGCAGGGGAAGACAGAAAATTTTGAAATGCATGAGAAAGGTATTATGATTATCCCCGAGTGAGCCACAGAGAGGTCAGGGAACTTGCCCAAGATCACCCAACTGATAGGTGTTAAAGCAGATTCCAACCCTGGCAAGCTGTGGCTGTGACTGGCATTCACAGCTCCTGCTCCACTGGCACCCACCAAGTGCTCTGGGAATTCAGAGGACAGGTCAGTTAGAGCTGGAATAGTTGTATTCATTTACTTTTTAGACCCTGTAGCTCCCATCCTATCTCCACCCCCATCATGAAATTGTGGTAGATAATTGTCCACAGTTTAAAAAGTTCTTTCACATGATTTCTATTGAAAAACTCACAGTGACTTTGAAGCAGAAGAGTAGGGCAAGGGCCCTCCTCACTGAATAAATTCCCACGGCAATGCTGGTCATTTCAACTATCACAAACTCCTGGCAATGCTCATTTCAACTCTCCTAGGGACTGACACTCCTGATCTAGATGGATGACTGCTGTGTGTCTTTCCAACTCGAGTTGTCTTAAGTCTGTGATTCTAGAGACTAATAATCTACTTCATCGTTTTTTCTTTTCCAAAAATCTGTTCCTTACCCATTTATATTATTTTTTCAGCGTTTTCTACTGGGAGAAGGGAGGAAAAATGAAAAAGAACTAAAATAATTCAATTATGTTTAAGCAGCTTTTTGAGAATAAGCTTTTTGAGTATGTATGAATTAATGTTATGTTCTCTTGTCCCCTGTATCACAAAAAAGCTGCAGGATTTTTAGTGATTTTAAAATCTGTTCCATTTTTAACTTTCATAAACTAAGGAGAATGTTGTAAAATTGAAGTACATTGTACTCACCCTTCTTTAATTGGAACCAGTGCAATGGGTTAAGATGTTTTAAGCATTTTAAAATATAGGGTCGTATCTGTAAGAAAACAGAAATCAACATAGATTTAAACTCTGTCTATTCTGTTAAAATCAAAGCCAATCATATTTCCTCAAAAGTAGGGTACTATGTTCCTAATTCTTCTCCCCTTCAACTCACTGCTGCTATAGCAAAGTTACAGCTGCAACAACTGACCCAAGTCATTTTCAGTGGCTCAGTATTTGCTGAGTAAACAGTTAAATAATTTTTCCTATGCTTATCAGTGCCTGGCATATGTAAGTGCTGTTAGCTGCATCATCATCTTCATCATCACCATCATCGTCGCCCTCATCATGCAATTTTATATTTACTGCTGCCCACACCCACATATACAAATGACTGTCTGCCCTATAGCCTACTGTCTATGAGAGCAATTTAAATCAAGTAAGATATAGTTCAGGTTGCTAATATTAAGAGCTGAAGAGAAAAAAAAAAGCAAGGGGACAGAAGTATGGGTGGTATTTGCAGGTGAGATTTTTGAAGATGGCTAAGAAAAGCCTCTTAGAGAAGGTGACATTTAAGAAAGGTTCTGCAGTGAAGGAGTAAGACATGATCTGGGGAGAACTTTCCAGACAAAGTGAACAGTAAATGCAAAGGCCCTGGGGTAGGAGTCTGCCCAGCCTGTTTAAGGAAGAGTGAGGCCAGTGGGGCTACAGGTGTGAGTGTGAGAAGTCAGACATGAAGCCAAGTCATGGAGGGCCTGGCAGGTGGTAGGACTTTCGTTTTGTACTGAGTGACCTAGGGAGATCCTGGAGGGTTCTGGGGAGAGGAATGACATGACCTTACTCAGGTTTTAAGAGAATTACTCTGGTTACTGTGTTGAGAACATTGTGAAGGTGAGGGCAGGTAAAGGAAAAAACAGTAAACATTTAAATATCACTATCCTATAAACTATAATGGGATAAGATAAAAAAGATATAGACAGAAAATCAAGGTAGTCTCTGGTGACTGCCCACTTGTCTGTTCTGGTCACTGTGACTGCACACAGAGACCAAATCTCCCAAATAAAAGTCAGGGTTGGTAAACAGTGGTACATGTGGCTATAATAGCTAAATACTTCTATTTGGTTATTTAAATTCTCCTAAAACATAAAAAAACAGAATTGGTTTCCTAAATTACAGTTTTTGGCAGTGACTAAAGGTCACAATAAAGAACAGTAAGGCCCAACTTCCCATAGTTGCTTTTATTTTTCCCTAAAAAAAAGAGTCCATTTTCTTATACAGACATTCATTTATGTAAGACCCACATCAGGCTTTTTCTAAAGTGCCAAAACCCGTGCAATCCCCATAACTTCAGGTGAGAATTATAATGGGCAGAAGAATGTATCAACTAAAATACTCAAGGCCATCTCAAATCCTGAAGAGTCCCTGGTTTCTGTGACAAGGGGGAATTTTGCTAGCAAATAAGTAAAATCCAGGTAAATATGCTCTAAATCTTCATCTTCAGGTTCTTAATTCTTTAACATATTGTATCAGATTTTGTATTCAAATCTAATTATATTTTGTAAAAAATGTTTTAAAAATTCCTAGATAAATTTCATTCATTAATTTTCTATTTTATTCTCTATACCCTTCTTTGTTTTGTCTGTCTTCTTTTCTTTCCACAAATTCCCAAGGACAATCCCTAAA
Source organism: Homo sapiens (assembly GCF_000001405.40). NCBI lineage: Eukaryota > Metazoa > Chordata > Mammalia > Primates > Hominidae > Homo > Homo sapiens. The sequence goes on from NC_000004.12 coordinate 83,264,284, forward strand.
AAAACTATTAGTCCCAGTGTTCGGTTGGAGATAAATTTATTCCAACAATCCTCAGGTCTGTGGATGTCTAGAGTGTAAATCTGCAAGAGAGGAATACAAAGTTGTATTAATACCTAGTCTGGACTTTGGGTCATAACAAATAAACATGTTAACACGGAGGAGAAAACAGCAAATACAAAAAATACAAATATAAAAAATGAAAAATTAGCTAGGCACGAAGGCACATGCCTGTAGTCCCAGCTACTCAAGAGGCTGAGGTGGGAGGATTGCTTGAGGCCAAGAGGTCAAGGCTGCAATAAGCCATGATCACCCTACTGCACCCTCCTAGCCTGGGTGAGAGAGTGAGACTCTATCTCAAAAAAAAAGAAAAAGAAAAAGAAAAATTTACCATATTTTTCACTTGGAATCATCCAAGCTGTTTCTTAAGAATTTTCGGTTGAGGGTTGCATGAATGCTTGTGAGGCAACCCATACTGTTTTTAGTTCTAACGATTTAGAACGTTCTTCCTTATACTGACTGATCTAAAGTCTGTCTCCCTGCAACTCCTACCCTCCAGTTCTGGTTTTAGCGTCTGCAGCAAAGTTTCTCAATGGAGAACAAGTCCCATTTGGGCAGGACAACTCTAATGCAGGGCAATCTGGTGCAGCACAAGATATTGACTGTATCTGGCCATCATCCATATAGTCACCCCTCCTAGTTTATTATAACCAAAAATGCCCTCCCACATTTCTAAATCTCTCCTGTTCAGGGACCTACATTTAGGGAAGGGGAGCTAGAGACCTAAATCTGTTGCTAGTAATCTAGAACAAGCGTACTCCTTTTTCCCCATGGTAGCCCTGCAAATACACTAAGGAAGTCTCACGTATGTTCCTATCTTCCTTAGGCATGGGGGACTATTCTTTATTATGTGGTCTGCAGACTTACAATTATCATGATTTCCTTTCTCTTTAAATACTAAAAGGCTACGTCCATCTTTAAACACTGTATCGAAAACTGGACAGAGAGGCCAGGCGTGGTGGCTCATGCCTGTAATCCCAGCACTTTGGGAGGCTGAGGTGGGCGGATCACTTAAGGCCAAGAGTTTGCGATCAGTCTGGCCAACATGGCGAAGCCCCGTCTCTACTAAAAAAATACAAAAATGAGCTGGGCATGATGGCGTGTGCCTGTGATCCCAGCTACTACGGAGGCTGAGGCACGAGAATCGCTTGAAACCAGGAGGTGGTGGAGGTTGTACTGAGCCAAGATCGTGCCACTTCACTCCAGCCTGGGTGACAGAGGGAAGACTCTGTTTCAAAACAAACAACAACAACAACAACAACAAAACTGGACAGAGGACCATAAATGTGATTTAAAATATAAAGTGGGCTCCAAGTATTTCTTTTTTCTTCCTTTGTTTTTGAGACACAGTTTCCTTCTGTCACCCAGGCTGGAGTGCAGTGGCACCATCTTGGCTCACTGTAACCTCTGCCTCCCAGGTTTCAAGTGATTCTCCTGCCTCAGCCTCTCGAGTGGCTGGAATTACAGGTGCACACCACCATGCCCAGCTAATTTTTGTATTATTAGTAGAGACAGGGTTTATCCATGTTGGCCAGGCTGATCTTGAACTCCTGACCTCAAGTGATCTGCCCACCTCGGCCTCCCAAAGTGTTGGGATTACAGGCGTGAGCCACTGCGCCTGGCCGAATATTCCTTATAGTATTTGTGATTGTCTTAATAATTTTTGCCTTCCTGTACTATTTAATATTCAGGTGTTTAAATATTAACATATACCCATTATCCAGACCAGACAATCAAATGACAATGTCAGCCCTCATGGAGCTGAGCTATGACCAAAAAGGGATGCTGAGAAATTCTGAAGGGAAAAATGGTGACATCCTGGAAAGTCACCAATTCACATTTTAGTTTTCACAGTGAGGAAAACAGTGGAGGGGACACAGCATATGGTTTACTTTACAGACATCAGATTCTGATTTCCTTCATACCATGTTATGTGAGTCTTGCCTATACTGATAGTAATTGGCAATAATCTGTATAAAATCAGTCATCTAAATACAGCTTCATGAATATCTTCTTTTTTTTTTGTTTTTTTTTTGAGATGGAGTCTTGCTCTGTCGCCCAGGCTGGAGTGCAGTGGTGTGATCTTGGCTCACTGGAACCTCTACCTCCTGGGTTCAAGCGATTCTCCCGCCTCAGCCTCCTGAGTAGCTGGGATTACAGGTGCCCACCACCATGCCCAGCTAACTTTTATATTTTTGGTACAGACGGGGTTTTGCCATGTTGGCCAGGCTGGTCAAACTCCTGACCTCAGGTGATCCACCATGAATACCTTTTTGATTCTGTTTAATGAAAATAACAATAACACTGATATAAAAATATAGTCAATTTATTAGCAAGTGATTTAATCAAAATTAGATTTAGTTCATTCATTTACAAGTCAACAATGTAGATTCTCAACATAAGTTTCTGACAGGTAGGGGATGTGGTGTGGGTGAATATCCTGAAATGACAGCTTCCTGCTCTCTACTGGCAGAACTTTGACATGTTCCGCATTTCATGTCTTATCTGTCCTTGGTCTTTATGCCAGCAGAAACCAAATTTATGAATAATTAGTCTACTAACCATCACTAGAAACCCAGATTTTTTTTTAAAAGCTTTATCTGTCAGTTTGCTTTTAGAGTAATTCAACTCAAACCACAAGCTTCAGATATCACTGAAATTTTTCCAGACATGAATCAGAAGTAATTCCAGGAAAATCAGATGGGAAAATTTGGATTTAGGCCTATATTATTTTTAAAAAATAATATACCTTGGCTGGGGTTGGTAGCTCACACTGGTAATCCCAGCACTTTTGGGAGACCAGGGCAGGAAGATTGCTTGAAGCCAGGAATTTCAGACCAGCCTGGGCAAAATCTCAAGACCCCATTTCTACAAAAAATAAAAAAAATTAGCCAGGCATGGTGGTGCATGACTGTAGTCCCAGCTACCCAGGATGCTGAGGTGGGAGGATTGCTTCAGTCCAGGAGTTAGAGGTTGCAGTGAGCTGTGATTGCACCACTGCACTCCAGCCTGGATGACAGGCTGGACAGCACTGTTTCAAAAAAAATTTAAAAATAAAATAAAATACTAGAGCTAGCTTTCTTATAAGTTGAGGCCGGAGGGCAGGGGGGTCTGTTAAAGGTAGTAGAAGCCAAGTAGTTGTTTAAGAAGTTCCTTGCCAGGTAAACACAGAGGGCATACTGTTTAAATAATTTTTATAATTTATACCAAGGAAATATGAGGGACAAATAAGAAAAAGGTCAAACCTGGTGAGTCAGATGGGCTCCTACAGCACCCAGGGCAGCGTAGTAGGGAGCAGTCTGTCCACTGTTCACACCCACTAGGCTCAGTGCCCCCAGCATTGCAACACTGAAGCCGCTGAGCCACGGCTTGGTATTTTCTCCGAACCGCAGAGCCGTTGACTTAAGACCAATCAAAACATCATCTCTTTTGTCCTAATATCAGAAAGAAAAATAAACTGTTTTTTGAGATTTAGTTCACACACCATAAAATTCACATTTTGAAGTATCAGATTTAGTGTTTTTTTGTATATTCACAAGGTTGTGCAACCAATTACCACTAACTACTTTCAGAAGAAATTGTCTTTTAAAGAACATGCAGATATACCATAAGCGGTGAAAGATGACAGTAACTCAGAAACAGGCTGATCAGTAATGAATGTGCAGGCCAATCAAAGCTAAACACCACTGCTAAAATCACCATCCAGCTTCATTTCTATACACCATTATATTTGTTATAATCCTATAATGACTCTTAACCATATTTTTAGTGTTAGGATTAAAATTCAGCTCTAATTCTTCCCATAGCTCCTCTCTACCTCAGAGTTCTCAAATCTCAATAATCTCCTATACATTTTAGTTTCAATCTTGCAAAAGTCACAGATGTAGAAAAATGCTCACTTACCACCTAACCACATCCACTCATTTCCCACTTCTAGCCCAACCTATCCCTTGCCTTTCCTATCAAATCCTGTTTAGGTAGAGCTAGGTCTTGATGATATAACCACATGTAGCTGCCTGGTTTCTCCCAGCAAGTTTACTTGTAAGCATCTCCATATACTGTTGTAAATAATGATGGTCACGTAGTATCAGTGGCTGTATGCTGAACTCTCTGCACTGACCTACCGGCAGACAGCAACCTGACAGGCTCTCTTTTGGGGCCCAAATCCAAATAACAATGACTGTGGGTGTTTCTGTTTTTCCTTTCATACTAGAATCACCTTCAGGGTGCAAACTGTGTCTATAGTTATTATGTGAACCACAAAAGTGCCAATGAGTATGTGGTGTTTTCCTGAAGTTGTTAATCTAATTGGAGTACTGGTATCCTAAGCACTCATTCCAGACCTTACCGCAAAAAGTACAGGCATCTCTTCTAACCTGTAAGTCAAGTTTCACTTTGGAAGTAAGACTGATTACAGATCCGCCTTTTCATGATACTACAAATGTAGCAGGGCATAGGGGGTTTAGTGGAAGAAAACAGAATGAAATCCAGACATATTCTTCAAGTAAATGACTGAGAATATATAATCATATTTCAGAAAAATACTGAGAAAAACTTTTTTGAAAAGTTTATAAATGTATTCTCAGAACATGTACTATCAAATCATCACACTGTATACCTTGAATATGCATAATTTTATTTGTCAGTTACTTCTCATTAAAGCTGGGGGAGAGTTTATAAATGTAAAAGAAAAAAATGAGTTTTTAAAATGGAATTTATCAAAAAGGCAATATCAAAAGCTATAAAAATGCATATAATCCTTTAAGTCAATAATACCACTTCTAAAAATTTAACTGAAAAACTCCTATTCAAGAAGTATTAATGATTAGAACAATATTACTTATAATTGTGAAAACTCAGAAACAAGTAGCCAAAATAGAGAAACTGTGAATTTTTTTTTAATTATGGTACATCGAATTTATGGCATGTTAAATTGGGGCATGGACTATCTCATAGTCCATAGTCTTAAAGTGACAATGACAAAGAATTGGTAAAAATATGGGAAAATGTTCACTAACTACACCAAGTAAAAAAGTTGCATAATTCAATGATTAGAGGGACAGAAGAATGTAGTGGTTAAAAGCAGTCTCTGAACACTGGGTTTGAATCGCAGTTCTGCCACCCACTAACTGTGTGACATGGACAAATACTTCTTCACATATTTCCTCTTCTGTTAAATGAGGATAATGTAAGTACTTTCCTCAAAGACTGTTGGGGGATTAAGTCTGTAAAGTACTTAAAACAGTGCCTGGCACATAGTAAATACTACTTTATTGCTTGTAAATAAAATAAATGAGTTGAATTTTGGTAAACACACATAAACATAAAAAAAATTTTGTTGGAGCCATGGAACTGTGAATGACTTTCTTTTTAGAAAAAAAAAATTCTTCCTCCTTAATTTGGTTCTTAAAGTTCTTAAAAAACAACAACAAATTTTAGAAAAAAATGCTTTCTCCTTAATTTGGTTCTTTAAAAACAGCAACAACTAAACCAAAGTTAAGAAAAGATAATTTCTTTACCTGATGGGCATAAATAGTATCATATATTAGTGTCCACATAACTCCAGAAAAATAAAGAGGCAGGCAAACAGATGGATCACAGGAACCCTTGATAGCAGACCATCCAAGTAACGCTCCCCAATTAAATGTCAAGCCTACAATTAGCAAAACACAAAAAGGGGGAAAGTCTGTATGTACTTTAGAATCCTAAAGGGAAGGAGTGGCATCGGAGTGTGTTCAGTGCTCCTGGGTATCAGACTCTGTGTGTGCTGCTTTCTGTGGGTTCCTTCCTTAAACCCTTTCAACTCTCGGTGGTACTTATTAGCTCCATTTTACAAAAAACAAAACAAGCTCAGAGAGGTTAATTAACAACTAAAGTAACAGAGCTAATAAAAAGAATAATATCCCCTAATTAAGTAAATAGGAGGTTTAAAGAGAAGATTTATCCCACCTAATATGGTGCACGGCACTACCAATAACAGAAGATGCTGGGATCTGAACTTACATCTCTCTGACTCAAAAACCCATGTTCTTTCTGTTACCACTCTGCCTCCCCTATCAGCTACTGAAACATGAATATACATACGAACACTGATCTATTCCACAATGGCATCATCTCTGAGGACTGTAAACAAACACCTACATGTTGACAGCTCTCAAATCTCCACTTGCAAGCCTGATAACTCTCCTAAGCTCCAGACTGCATACTGAACAGTCTGCTGGACTTCTCTGCCTGCAAGTTGCTCATGTACCTTAAACTCAATGTGTCCCAGATATCTTTTCTCAGAAACCCCTTTTCTCCTCCTGTATTACCTATTTCCACTCATGTCCCCTCCTTAACTGATGAAGTGCCTCTCCTTTGTGGTCCCATAGCACTCCTGCCTGACACGTTGTACTGCAATGACCTGTTTATCTGTCATCTCCATCTCCAACTCCTTAAAGATGGTCAGGGTGTTTTAGTCATTTTTATTTTCCCAGTACCTGCTGCAATTCCTAGCACGAAGTAAATGTAGGGGTTCAGTAAATGTTTGGAGTAAATATACCAGCTTCTTAATATTATCTTATAGATAGGAAATGCTTATATTGAGAATATAATTTCAAATTTAATAAAGAGAACATTCAATGAGAGGATCTTAGAAAAAGATAAATATTCTACCACAACTTTCCCACAAATCAGGCTCACATCAATTTCTTGAGTTGCTTTTAGTTCTTTCATTTACTGAAAAAAATGATTCAAAGAACTAGAATCATTCTAGGAATAGAATAGAAAAGTCTGGGAATAGATATTTTTGCAGCAGATTCTGATACCTGCTTACCTAACTATGTTTCTTTCTTTTCACCAACAAGTATGTATTCAATACCTACACCGCACCAAGTGCTATGCTAAATGCTGGGCCACAATTTATTAACTGGAGACCATAGGAGGCTCTCAACGTATTCTTGGTTGAATTAATGCTGCTGAAATAAGTAAGTGCCGGATTAGAATCCTATGGTAGCCCAGAAGAGACTGTCTAACTTCTTCCTGAGAGGCTTCACAGAATACGAGCTGTCTAAGCTATCACATACACTTTAACCCTTGTTTTCCTGCCACAGAGTGCTTCCTACCCCATCCCCCAAATTCTTCAGGGCATCTAGATCAAACATTTTTTCATGACATACCTAGATTTTTAAAAAAGCATTTCAGAAAGCAATGGCCAGGCGTGATGGCACACATCTATAATCCCAGCACTTTGGGAAGCCAAGGCAGGCAGATCGCTTGAGCTCAGGGGTTTGAGACCAGCCTGGGCAACATGGCGAAACCCTGTCTCTACAAGAAATACAAAAATTAGCCAGGCAGGGTTGTCAATGCCTGTAATCCTAGCTACTCAAGAGGCTGAGGTGGGAGGATCACTTGAGCCTGGGAGGTCAAGGCTGCAGTAAGCTGAGATGGTGCCACTGCACTCCAGCCTGAGCAACAGATCAAGACCCTGTCTCAGAGAAGAGGGGAGAGGAGAGTGTAGGGGAGGGGAGCAGTGGGGGAGAGAGGAGAGGAAAAAATAATGATGATGATGATAACCCTAATAAATATGCAATATTTCTGAACTAATAAAAATAGCTAACTGCTCTCCTTTAAAGTACGAAAATCTACTATTGGTTAGGAAAATTACATGACTGATTTGTCATTTCATCTTTACCTATTTACCTATCTCTCCATAAAAGTGTAGTTTGCAAATATCAAAGGAAATACTTTTAGTTATTGTAAGCTCACCCAAGGCTAGTTGAGGCCAGTATGAAATTCTTTTCATTAGTGGGTAGGTGATGACAAGAAGTAAGGATCCTGCTCCCAGAGCTATACTGAAAAGAGGAAAAACCATTAAAGTGATTATTACCACTACCTCTTAGAAACCACGAAATACTTTAAGACAATGACATAAGTAATACTAATTGGAAAATATATTTTATCTTAAATTATATTTTATGTAAGTTATCTTCCTAGCCTTCGACTTTCCCTATTATAAAGGATGAGTAGAAAACTACTTTAAATGTTATAAAACAATCAAACAAAATAATAGCTAACACATACAGTACTATCATGTATTAAGCACTATTCTAAGTGAATCACACTTGTTAATTCATTATAATCTTCACAATGACTCCAAAAGGCAGGTATTATAATATAAAGTTTTATTCTCTTCCTTTTTTGCAGATGGGAAAACTGAAGCACAAAGAAATTAAGTAGTTTGCTAATTGTCATATAGCTAGTCATAGAAGAGCCTAGATTCAAACCTAAGGCAGTCTGGCTCCAGAGTCCAACCTATCAACCACCAAATGTTAACTACCAAATGTTACTGCCTCTCTGAACTGTTTGCAAACATTAAGGCATCTAATAAACTAAGATGTCCTAACTAATAATTAGAGTCAAGATATCCCTCCTTATATATATGATGCAGTGTTACTTTTCTAGAAAAAAGGAAACACCTATGAAAATGTGATAAAATAAGACGTTCTTAGGACCTCAAAGTTTATCTAACACTACCCCTTCCAGAAATAACCTTCCAAAGGTATTGTCATGTAATTGATGCTATCAGGGCAAGGCACGCAATTAAGTCTAGTCTCCATAAAGTAACTTTTTGTCTTTCTTCTCTCGCATTGAAGCACTTTGTAAACCGCAATCTGATACACAAAAGTTTCGTTTTGTCTTGTTTAAGAGATACAGGAATGAGTCCTCCCACTTCTTTCTTCAGTCATTGATTAGTAACACCACCCTGGGAAAGACATAGTTCCTCTTTTTGCAAAATGAATATAATCACTTCTGCTTTAAGTCTACTTTAGAGATACTGTCAACATAAATAAAATTATATATGTGTGGGTGTATACACACACATCCATGCACGCACTTAGAAAACCTATGAAATTGCCTTGTGTCCCTTAGGGAATGTAGTACAAATACTGAAGGTGGTTCAAAACAAATTAAATGTTCATTTCTTAACTCCTTTGGCTGAAAGCATTCTTGAAGCAGATTTAAAAATGTGTGGTGAGTTACTTACACTTGCTAACTTACAGATGCTTAATAAGTAGCAAATGAACAACTTTGTGATAAAGATATTTCATTTTATTCCTATTTTCTCCATTTCAAAGGAGAGATTTTATACATGATGTGGAAAACGTTTAATATACCTGTAGTAATTTAGACACAGAAGAACACCCAGTGCCAGGGTTAGCTGTCCCCCAAGAAAAACAAAGGACTGAAAAGTTGAAATGTCTCCAGCGGCTATTGGACGATTGGCTGTTCTTGTAACCTTAAAACATAAAAACAGATACCTTAGCTTCATGTAATGACTCAATCATTTATTTAAACATTTAATGAAGAGACTGGCCCATGGTAGGCACAAATATGAATGAAGAGAGAAATCAACATTTTAAGTACTGTCAGAAATCAAAACTTCACATTTAAAATAGCTTTGAAAAGAACTAAAAATTCCCATCACTCATTCTCTTTTCTCCCATCCCCATCTCTAAACAAACAAAACAAAGGAACTTCCTGGCTGGGTGCAGTGGCTCAAGCCTGTAATCCCAGCACTTTGGGAGGCTGAGGTGGGAGGACTGTTTGAGGCCATGAGTTCAAGACCAGACTAGGCAACATAAGGAGGCGCTGTCTCTACAAAAAAAAAAAAAAAAAAAAAAAAAATTAGCCAGGTATGGTGATGTGTGCCTGTAGCCCCAGCTATTGGGGAGGCTGAGGTAGGAGGATTGCTTGAGCCTAGGAGGTTGAAGCTGCAGTGAGTCATGATTGCACCAAGCTCTCCAGCATGGGTGACACAGCAACCCTGTGTCAAATAAATAAATAAATAAAAAACAAAGCAACTTCCTTATCAGCTATTTAGCTATAACATGTTCAATTTCCACAGAGAAAGCCTAAAATATTTACGAAGTGGCACAATCTCAGCTCACTGCAACCTCTGCCTCCCGGGTTCAAGTGATTCTCCTGTCTCAGCCTCCCAAGTAGCTGGGATTACAGGCATCCACCACCACCCCTGGCTAATTTTTTGTATTTTTAGTAAAGACAAGGTTTTACCATATTGGCCAAGCTGGTTTCGAACTCCTGACCTCAAGTGATCCACCTGCCTTGGCTTCCCAAAGTGGCAGGATTATAAGCGTGAGCCACGGTGCCCAGCCCTTTTAATCTTCTTAACGGGGTCCTTAACAGATAAAAATTTGTTGATGTGCAAATTCAATTTTTCCTATTATGGGTTGTGCTTTTCGTATTTCTCACAGCTTTCAAGATTTTAAAATTTTCTTTAGTTTTCAGAAGTTTGACTATAATGTATTAAGGTGAGGATTCTGTGTGTTTATCGTGTCTGGAGGTTGCTCACCTTCTTAAATATGTAGGTTTATGTCTTTTGCTAAATTTGGGGCTTTTACAGCCAATATTTCTTCAATCATTTTTCAGCCCCAACCCCTTTCTCCTGTTTTTCCAAGACTCATGAAACAAATATTAGATCATTTGTTATAGTTCAAAGGTCTTCAATTTTTCAGTCTATTTTCTGTTTTCCAGATGGTGTCATTTCTATTATTCTATCTCCAGTTCACTGATTCCTTCCTCTGTCCCCTCCATTCTGCTGTTGGGCCCATCCACTGAATTATTATTACAATTATTATATCTTTCACTTCTAAAATTTCCATTTGGTTCTCCTTTATATTTTCTATTTCTTGGCTGAGAGGTGGTATTTTTCATTTGTTTCAAGAATGTTTGTAATTGCTCACTGAAGCATATTTATGATTGCTGCTTTAAAAATCTTTCTAAGAAATCCTAACATCTCTGCTATCTCAGTGTTGTTCATCTGCTGATTGTCTTTTTTTCACTCAAGTTGAGATTTTCCTAGTTTTTGGTATGACAAATGATTCTTAACTGAAATCTGGACATTTAAGTATTATGTCATGAGACTATGAATCTTATTTAAACCTTTTATTTCAGTTGACTTTTTTTGACACTGCTCTGGCAAAAGAAGGGGGTGGGAGATGCTGCCTAATTGCTACCAGCTGGGGTTACAAGCTCACGTTCCCAACCTGGTTTCCACTGGCCCCTGCCAAGTAGGCTTTTTTTTTTTTAATTATTTTTTATTTTTTTCCTATCTGTGCCCAATGACATTTCCAGATTTCTGGCTTCTTCAGTTCCAAGTCTGGGATATATGAAGAAAAACAAAATCTAGGAAATTCTTTGGGTCCTGAGGTCCCTAGCCAGTCTGCCACCTTTTCTCCACAGTCCTCTTATGTTTGTTTTATGTATAATCTCCAGGTGTTTTAGACATACTTAGTGGAAAGAATAGGGAAAATACATCTATTCCATCTTCCTGGAAGCAGAAGTCAAAATCTATGTAATTAGTTTTAACTCTAGTCAAGAGTGTGGGATGTAAACGTTTAGAGGAGAGTCTGTCTACCAAATAAGATAAAGCAATTCAGAATTTTGCAGTTTGCCTTCAAATATTTAATCTCAAATGTTCAGTTATCTAAACAGACCCATGCTTCATAAACTGTTACTAATTTATGGGACTATTTTTCATTTTCTGGAAGGCTTATACTAAGCTACAAATTTTTTAAAGTGAAGAACTACTATTAACATGTTCAAGAATTATCTTGAAGTGATACATGCCAGAAGCCTCATTCATATATATTTTTATATAGAATATATATTATATATAATATATATTTTTATATAATATATAAAATATATATTATATATAATATATATTTTATATATAATATATATATACATATTCATATATATACATATAGAGTGTACAGAATAAAACTGACCAGGATGTGTGAACCTCCAAATCAAGAAAGTGTGTATCTCATATGTTTGTTGGTTGCTTGTATGTCTTCTTTTGAAAAATGTCTGTTCATGTGCGTTGCCTACTTTTTAATGGGGTTATTTTTTTCTTGTTGTTTGAGCTCCTTGTAGATTCTAGACATTAGCCCTTTGTTGGACGCATTGTTTGTAAATATTTTCTCCCATTCTGCAGGTGGTCTGTTTGCTCTGTTGATTATTTCTTTTGCTATGCAGAAGCTTTTTAGTTCAATTAAGTCTGATTTGTCTATTTTTGTTTCTGTTGTGTTTCCTTTTGGGGACTTAGTCAGATATCACTAATCATCAGAGAAATGCAAATTAAAACCACAATGAGATACCATCTTCTACGCCAGTCAGAATGGCTATTAGAAAGTCAAAAAACAGATGTTGGTGAGGATGTGGAGAAAGGGGAACACTTATACACAGTTGGTGGGGCTGTAAATTAGTACAATCTCTATGGAAAACAGCATGGAGATTTCTCAAGAACTAAAAACAGAACTACTAATTCAACAATCCCACTAGTGGGTATCTACCCACAGGAAAAGAAATCATTTTGCCAAAAAGACACCTGCACTCATACATTTATCACAGCATTATTCACAATAGCAAAGTCGTGGAATCAACCAAAGTGTCCATCAATGGATGACTAGATTAAAAAATGTGGTATATATACACCATGGAATACAAGGCCATAAAAAAGAATAAAATCACATCATTTGCAGCAACATGGATGGAACTGGAGGCTATTATTCTTAGTGAAATTACTCAGAAACAGAAAGTCAAAACCACATGTTCTCACTTATAAGTGGGAGTTAAACAATGGGTACACAGAGACATACAGAGTGGAATAATAGACACTGGAGACTCCAAAAGGTGGGAGGGTGGGAGGGGAGTGCAGGATGAAATACTGCCCATTAGGTCATACTACATATGGGTACACTAAAAGCCCAGACTTCACCACTACACACTATATCCATGTAACCTGACTGTAACTGTACCCCTAAATCCATAAAAACAAAAACATTTTTAAAGAAAAAAAAAGGACAGTGTGCATGTCTTGGCAAATTAAGGCATCCCAGTTGTGTCAGAGAAATGCTTTACCATACAGCTCCTGCCACTCTTCTACTACACCCCATATCCTCCAGCCACACACAGACCATGTAGTTGCTGCTATCAAACGCATACTCATCTCACAGCCGTGCCTCTGGACCTGCTGTTCCCTCTGTCTAGAGACACCTTCACCCTCTAGCCCACTCTTTTTTTGCCATCCTATTCTTTCAGAGTTCAAAGGTCACCCCGGCCTGGAAAGTTATCTCTAACCCTCTCCCTTAGGTTGAGGTAAGTGGTCTTCAGCAAGTTCTCTGGTGAACACTATTCTCAAAAGACTTCTACTGTTTTATAATAACTAAACCCTGAATGTCAGGAATGTTGTATTTCATCGATGCAATCCTAGAACCTGCCACTGGTTCTTCCACATAGCAAGTACTGAATAAATGTTTTTGAATTAAAAAATAGATTAATGGCCAGGCGCGGTGGCTCATGCCTGTAATCCCAGCACTTTGGGAGGCCGAGGCAGGTGGATCACCTGAAGTCGGGAGTTCGAGACCAGCCTGACCAACGTGGAGAAACCCTGTCTCTACTAAAAATACAAAATTAACCGGGCATGGTGGTGCATGCCTGAAACCCCAGCTACTCAGGAGGCTGAGGCAGGAGAATCGCTTGAACCTGGGAGGCGGAGGTTGCGGTGAGCTGAGCTCGCACCACTGCACTCCAGGCCTGGGCAACAAGAGTGAAACTCCATCTCAAAACACACACACACACACACACACACACACACACACACACACACACACACACGTAACACTATTCTATTAACTAAAAATTATTATAGGTCTGCCTTGCTTAAGGAAAATTCAGACTACATAAAAGGTAAACTAGGATCGATTATTAACTTTATATAAGATTATTCACTTTTTATAATTCAATGTGGGTTTCTTTTAAAATCAAATTTCAATTGATTATTTACTCAAGCATTTAATGATCTTGTACTAATTATGGCATAGTTGCTAAGATAAAAAGGCAAATAAGATGGCCCCTTTCCTTGAGAAAATAACTGTCTGTTGAAGAACAAGGAAATAATTATACACATGCATTAGAACAGGTACAAAAAAAAAATCCAGTGAAAAATAATGCATCAAGTTCTTAACCGAAGTTTTCTCTAGGAGATAAGAGGAGGAGATAAGGACAACTTGCACTTTTCATTGGTTGCAATTCTATATTATCTACATTTTTCAGAACAAGCATGTATTATTTTTCTAAGGAGAAAAAATGGGTAAAGTTATGTTTTTAAAAGAAACAATTATAGGAAACACTAACAAGTGCTGCCTTGATTCACTTGATTTACGTAAGAATAGTTAGGGCTCTAAAATACATCTTAAAGGAAGGGATGACAGATCTTTGGACACTTGAAGGTTCAGGATGGATTTTTCACTTTCACTCCTAACCTTTAACTCCCTCACCCTCAGTCTTCCAAATTCTCAATTCACTTTATAATAATAAAGTACACACCTTGCCCCTGGGGCCACTCTTGTGTTGAGAAAGGAAATATTGTACTCTGCACTTTGCAATACCAGCTATTCAACTGATCCTGGCATTTTCCATGCTGGATTTCTGTGGTCACTGAATGATCTTGTTGCTTTATATGGCATTCAAAAGTGATACCACTATGTTATTCTGCAGAATTGAGAAGAGCCTCTCTATTCCTTTTCAGGATGAAATTACCTTTTTATCATAGTCCTGGTCCCACATGTCATTAATAGTACAGCCTGCTCCACGCATCAGAATAGCTCCAGTGCCAAAGAGGGAGAGCATGTACCAATCTGGAAAACAACCTGGTTCAGCTGCCAAACCAATGCTCCAGGTACATGGTAAATACAGAAGCCAGGTTCCTAAGCAAAAATAAAAAGACAAAAAAGGTACAAATTTAAGTCAGTTAACTGTTTTCATTTGTTTAAACATCACATACCAAAGAAATAAAGAACACTATAAGTCAAAAAAACAAATGACAAAACTGAGAAAATAAATTTGCAACTCAAATCACAAAGGACCCCTTACTACGCAGAGTGCCTAGAAGAAAGAGATCAACAGTCCAATTAAAAAAGACAAAACATAATAAAAATTCACATAAAAAGAAATACAAATGGCTCTTATACATATGAAAAGATACTCAACTTTGAGAAACACATATGAAAACTAAATTGAGATAAAAATTTTCACCTATCACTGGCAAAACCCTACATCTGACAACACACTCTAGGGAGTTGAATACTCTTATGTATTTCTAATGAGGTTACAAAATGGCCCTACCTTTGTGAAGGACAACTTAAAAATTGTTTATTGTGTGTTTATATGTGTATATAAATATATATATATATACGTACCTACATATAAAACATTCATGCGTCAATGTTAATATGCTCAAAGACTGTCAGGAAGAACACACTAGAAACATATAATAATGGTTGCTTCTGAGTAGGGGAACTGCATGGACAGGAGACAGGAGTAAGAGACTTGCCTTTCACTCTATACCCTGGCACCTTCTGAATATTGTATCATATACACACATTACCTACTCAAAAAAGTTAGCAAAATTTCCTTTACCATTGTTAGTACAATACACTTAGACGGTCTAGTCTTTTTTTTTTTTTTTTTTGAGACAGCATCTCACTCTGTCACCCAAGCTGGCGTACAATGGCATAATCGTAGCTCACTGTGGCTTCAAACTCCTGAGCTCAAGTGATCCTCCTGCCTCCGCCTCCCCAGTAGCTGGAACTACAGGTGCAAGCCACCATGCCCAGGGAATTATGTTGCCCAGGCTAGTTGCAAACTCTTGGCCTCAAGTAATCGTCCCACCTTGGCCTCCCAAAGTGCTGGGATTTTAAGTGTTAGTTTTTTTGTTATTTTGAACTGAGTACTTTGCAGCTACATGTACAAATGGGGTTAGTTCTTAGTACTTAACCAATAAACTAGAGGAAATTAAGATAAAAGCAAATAGATTATATAAAAGACTTCAAATATGAACTTTAATATTCTACTTCTAAAAGAAAGTCTTTCAACTGATGTTTGGATATGCTGCCTATTAGATAAATTCTGAGCTTTCTTTCCCTATAGAGGGATACAAGAGAAAAGGGATTTGGGGCTAAAGAAAGTTCAGATCCTGAAGAAAAATGGTCAAATGACTAAAGTCCCTGTAATCATGTTTAAGCTTCACTAAGTTTAAGCTTTATTCATTTAGACATATTTATGAAGCATATACTCTGTGCCAGAACTATGCTAAGAACTGGGAATACAATGGTGGCTAAGAGAAAGGGGGCTTCTGCCTTCATGCAGCTCATAAATCAAAAGAAAGAAATACAGTTAAATAAGCAATAACAATAAAAGATCAATCCAACAACAGGACAAGCACAGGGTCCTGCAAAGGCATAAAACAAAACTATCTAAGTTAGTTAGCTAGTTTTAGGAGGAGGGAGAGAGGAATCAGAGGGTCTTTTCCAAAGGGGATCTAAATTTACACAACAGAGAAGTCAAGGAGAAGCCTCAAGCTAAAACCTTGAGAAATGGTCAGTCCAGACCTGAATTCAGGTTGTCCTGGACAGACTCATACTTGGTGCACTCCACAGTAACAATGGCTAATATTTACGGAGTGCTCACAAAGCATCAGGCAGTGTTCTAAATGCTTTATATGTCTAAACTTATTTAATCTTCAATGACATCTTTATATTAAACTTATTTATTTATATATTTACATTAGAGACAGGGTCTCGCTCTCTTGCCGAGGCTGGAGTGCAGTAACAAGGTCATAGTTCACTACAGCTTCTGACTTCCAGGCTCAAGCAATACTTCCACCTCAGCCTCCCAAGTAACATCTTTACATAGTAGGTACTGTTAATAACCCTATCTTACAGATGAGGAAACAGATAAACAGAGTGGTTTAAGTAAAACACAGTAGGTTTAACTACTTTCTTTACCCTGGAGCTATGAGTATAGTTCACAAGGGACAGAGGAGTAGCTGATCCTATCCTCCTAGGCTAGAGAAGAGAGAATACCACTTCACAGCTATTATTTCCTGGTACAATTAGAACAGAAGGTTCCACTAAAAAGAAAAAAATTCTAGACAGAAAGACGTGTAACCACTTATAGTGTTTTCTGTCAGGAACAAAACTTCCTTGGCCAAAAATCTGTATTAAAAGTACCGTATTCACTTACTGATAGGAATCTGTAGAGCTCCCCTACAGATGACAAGGGTTCCTACAGTGAAGGGGAAAGTAAGAAGACTTCTCAGTTCTATGTCTGCCACTTGTAAGTTGAGTGACACTAGACAGTAAAGTATCTTAAGGCTTAAGTCTTTGTTTCATCTGTAAATGAGGGAAGAGAACAGCTACCTCACAGAGTCGTTAAGAGATGACAATATTAATGATGTTATGACAACCGTAATAACAGATACATGGCACTTACTGTACCAGGTGGTTTCACAGAACACTTTTGACTCTCACAACAAGCCTATTCGATAGGCACTATTTTTATTACAACCATTTTACAAATACAGAAACTGACGCAGAGAGGGAGTAATTGTGCCCAAGACCACACAGGTAAAAAAAGGCTAAGGTGGTATTCCAACCCAGACAGTCTGGCTGCAGTCTGTGTCCTAAGTCCAATGCTGTCACTCTGTACTCCCTAAATCTCTCCATACACTTCAGTTTCACCTGTTCTTTTGTCCCTACTGATTCCTAGCAATGTTTTTTTTTTTTTGTCTTCCATATGACACTTTCATTCCCCATACTTTTCTGTGAAGAAAGACGCAGAGGTAGCAAAGACAAGAGACAAGTAGATTGCAAAAAGAAATGTTTTTGTAGAAAAGGGAAAAACTCTATGGGAGATGAAATAAAATGAGCAAGTTCTGAGGGGTGATGGACAGATCAAAAACAGATGATCTTCAAGACAACATAATCACCCATAAACGTGGTAAAACAAAAAATTACACTTCCAATTTGGTGGAAAGAGTGCCACCTGCTGACACTTTCTGGAATAAGGTAGTTTAGCCCATTTGAAAGAAGCTGTATTGCCTTCTCAAAAACAACGAAAACCTACTATTGATCAATGAAGGTAACAAGATATAACTTCAACAAAGTAAAACAACGAACACATAATTATCCCACAAAATAAGAATTTAAATAAAGAATTATCAAACCTGGAATTCTACTCCTGTCAATTATTGTTTCTGGCATATGGTAGGGGTTCAAAATACATTTGTTGAGCGAATTCTAACATAGTACTATTTAGTTTTCTGAAAAATCCTGTAATGATCACCTTATTTAGAACCAAACCATGCAGGCTGGTATCTTCCAAACATACACAATCTGTAAGTACAATTTTCTCCATTCCCCACTTCTAAGATAATAATGGCTATTTCTTCAGCACATATTATGACAGGCACTGTTCTAAGCACTTAACATATATTAATGAATTTTCGTGACCTCATAACGTCCATATTATCATTAATAGTATCTTCATTTTACAGATGAAAAACGGATGCCCAGAGAGGTGAAGTAATTTATCCAAGGTCCCTCAGATGAGCAGGGTGGAGGTTCACATCCAAGAGGTTTGGCTCCAAAGTTTTGCTCATAACCCCTTTGTTGCCTTCTGTTACATGGCGGAAGGTCCAGCCACTAAGATAGAAGCCAGAGGTTTAACTGGGGAAATGGGAATAATGGCAGATGTTCATCTATAAGGCTACACTGCCACTCCATGCCACAGACTCCAAGAACAGAATTACAGCCAGGCTTCAGATTGGAACTGGGCTTGGAAATGCATGCCTCTCAACGTGAATGTGGCCCCAAAACTCATGGGGGTCATACACAGCTTCCCAATGATGGCAGGGCTGTACCTATCATTCAGTAGGCTTTTATGCTTTGATAGCTGATTGTTATAACTTAGTGCTCTAATCCCAAATAGGTCGTGCATAAATCTAGAATACCAAAAGCAAGGCCTAATTCGGGTCTTGTACGGGCAAAAGTGGAGTAAATGTACCTAGGCCTTTGACTACATCTCCATACACTGCAATGGCAAATGTCATCATCTAGATTGGCTGGAGTTCATCCTTCACTTCTTCCTCCACGCTATCCAGCTTCTTCAGATATGTTCTTGTCTAGTCTCGTTTCCCATTTTCCACACCCACTTGGTGTTCCAGGTCAGGCTCGTATTCTTAGTGTTCTAACACTCCACCCTTGGGTCTTTGCAAAAGTACTTCCCGCACTAAGATCTCTTCCCTCCTCTGCAAAATCAACTTGTCCTTTGGAGTATAATTTCTTCTCGAAACTTTCCAGCAAGGGATCCACAGTAATTTCTCTTTTTCCTGTAGCACTTGCTTTTGTATCACTCATATTTGATCCATATTTTCCTAGCTCACCAAATAGTCTTTTTCAACTAGACCAGAGTTCCTTGAAAGCAAAGGGTTTCCATAGCTTTTTCTATCTCTATGGCCGGACAACGTAGTAGGAACTTATTAATTCACTTAACACTACTGGAGAAGCCAATCAATCAACAAGCGCATAAGGTTAGTTAGTGGTGAGTGCTATTAAGAAAAATTGCGGATAAAGCGATAGAAAGTGAGGTTGGTAGGTGTTAATTAAGATAGGAAGGTCAGGAAAATCTTTCTGTCGGGGGCGATTGTAAGCTGACAGGCAGTCCGTAAGCGCTGTCCCTGCTGCGTTCAAATGAATTAAATCTTTGCCTTATGGGTGATGCAGGTAAAAGAGCTCCGACTCAGCATCAAAACACAGAGTTCTTCTGGTCTGGCTCTGACGAGGAGCCTTAGTTTCCTCAGCGTCTTAACTGTCTTAAGGATTGTCTTTGTGGGCCTTACAAGATTGCGGGGAGGATCAAACATTCTAATAAATGAAGGAGGGCCACGAGAACGGAACCTTCCGCTTGAGTCACCATTTAAACAAGTGTTTGTGGAATGAGAATTATCTTGCCCGCTTCAGGTGCTCAGGATGCAGACAGACGTGAAACTGGCGGGTCCTTTAGGAGACTGTCCCGACTGCGTGTCCTGAGGTGACTCGCCCCAGGGCGCACGGCAGCCGGCAGCCAAGCTCAAGCTTTCAGGCTCTCATTTCAAAGTGTCCCGAGGTGATTCGCCCCAGGGCGCACGGCACCCGGCAGCCAAGCCCAAGCTTTCAGGTTCTCATTTCCATCACGCCCCGGCCGGCCGCCGCGGACAGCTCCGCGGAGCCGACTCGGAGGCTGCTACTTGCAAATTCCCGGGCTGCCCGCCCGCCCGCACTCACCAATGGGCTTGTCCAACCGCATGAGGCGCAAGTACGGCTGCAGGGGGCGGGGCGCAGAGTCCACCACCGCCGCCGCGGACAAACTGAGCTGGCGCCCGCGCGGCTCGGGACAGGCGGGGGGCTGCAAGTCACCACCGTGGGGCGCGCCTGCCGCACGCGCCAGGGCGAAGGAGCGGCCCCGCCAGCCCGGCAGCCACGCCAGTGCCACAGCCCGCAGGCCCCGCGCGAACCCCGCGGCTCGCGAGCCCAGCATGGCGCTGGTGAGGCCGGGACGAGCTCGGATTGACGTCATTCCCCGGCAGGCATGCGCAGTGGCACCCGCAGGATGCAATCCTAGTCTGCCAGGCTGGGCGGCGGTGTGGGCAGAACCTTTCCTCATCCTTACTTGTGAAATTGGGGTCATCGTGGTCGCTTACTCTAGGGAGGAATACTTAATGAAAAAGGGATTTCTATTGGCAAAAGGCAAAAAAATTACAATAAATTTAGTTGTAATTTTTTACAACTCGATCTTGATTGACTTTGTGGTTCCATTATCGGGCAACACTCAGAACGGGGTCTCTGAGGAAACAAACAAAAAATAGAATCGGGCAACACCTTATTCTGTAAAATAGAATAAGTGTTCCAAAGAGTCGAGCGGAGGAAGTTGGCTTTATAGACAGAAAAAGGGCTGAAGAAAGCAGAAGCAGAGAACAAAAAGCGGATTGGTCACTTCAAATTACTTTCATTGCGAGGCGGGGACAGGGAAACAACAACAGAGAAATAACGGATTGGTTAACATTAGGTTACACCAGGTTAAGGACTAAAACAGGAAACTTAATTGTCATGACGATTGCATTTTGAAATGGCCTGGTTGGAAAATTGGCTGTTGTCTCTCTTTCCTGACTTCTCAGAATGTCAGATACAACTTAGTTTTAGTTTGGTGACTTGGAACTTTAGCATGGGTGACTCTTGATTCTTAGTCTGATCTGTTGGGACCTAGTGCAGGAACTTAGTTCAAAACAATGGCCCCCTATAATTTAACCCTATTATCAGCTTTCTCCATAAAATGAAAAGGATAGTGTTTATTCATATGGAACAGTTGTACCAGGAAAAAAAAAAAAAAGCTTTGAAAAACCTACTGAATCCAAAAGAAGAATTTGCGTACACGTTTAGCCATAAAAAAAAAAAAGGGCACCAAGTGGCCACATACAAGACTGTAAATTAAAATCGCATTCAGGGTTAAGGGATGTTCATTACACAAGTGAAAATTTTAAATTTGACAGCCCTTCAAAGGAGTTTTTGTAATCAGTAGACAACCAGCATGTGTGATGCTAAGAACCTGAAGCTGAAAAGTCTGGTCAGCAGAGTCTTGCTCTGTCATCCAGGCTGGAGACCAGTGGAGGGATCATGGCTCACTGCAGCCTCCACCTCTTGGGCTCAATCGATCCTCCCATCTCAGCATTCTAAATATCTGGGACCACAGACACGAGCCACCGTGGCTGGCTAATTTTTAATTTTTCATAGAGAGGAGGTCTCACTATATTGCCCAGGTTGGTCTTGAACAGCTGGGCTAAAGAGATCCTCCTGCCTCAGATGGTCAGTACTCTTATTCATAAGCAACTCTGTATATCGCTGTGTGCCAGGCACTTTACATGTATCAACTCATTTAACCTCTCACTGAGTAACCCTAGGCAAGTCACTCATCTGGATTTTAATATTCTAGGAAGTTGACTTAGTCTTTAGGCTCCTTTCTGTAAAACATGTACAATGATTCTGTGACTTCTTGCATGGCTCAAGTACAGCAAGTTGGATGCCTGGCCACTTTGGTGCAATGAGGCAGGGGGTACCTAGCCTTTCTCCTGCCTGCAAAGAATAAAGGCCAGCAGGCAATTTAGTAACACTCCTAGTTGTTAGATTGGAGATGATTTAGATCTGACTCAAACCTGAAAAGGGTGTAATATCAGTCATGTATTGCATCCATGACTTTCCAATATAGGTCCAAACTCTTTGTTTAAAAAAATATATTAAGAATTTCAAGATGGCAACAGCAGGACATTAAACCAAGTACAAGGTCCTTCTTAGCGTAGGCCCTGGGTGACTGCACATGTACCCATGATGCTGACCCTGCCCAGAGGTGATTCAATCCTAAGATATTTGGTCCAATTAAAGTGCACAGGAAACTGAGATGGGTACCCACATGTCACTCTGCTAATTTGTAGGACAAGAGAACAGTCACATAGAGTAGAGCCCTAACTTTCAGGAGTCTCCTCTAGACTAATGCCAAGGCACAGTATGCCCTTGGGAAAGCCATTTAACTGCTGCAAACTCTTCAGAAAAGGAAGGGACTAGGCTTTCTCTAAAAGGGCCTGTAAGGCTCCGATTCCTCATTTTGTTTTTTGTTTTTTTTGAAGTGACTTTCTTTTTTTTTAAAATTTTATTATTATTATACTTTAAGTTTTAGGGTACATGTACACAACGCCAATTCCTCATTTTGGATTGGGCAGGAACTCATTTTGTTTTAAACCTATTACCCACAGGAACTGAAATGGTTAATTTTACATGTCAATTTGGCTAGGCCATAGTGCCAAAACATTTGGTCAAAAATTATTCTGGCCAGGCACTGTGGCTCACACCTGTGATCCCAACACTTGAGAGACCCAGGTGAGAGAATTGCTTGAGCCCAGGAACTCAGGACCAGTCTAGGCAACATAGTGAGACCTCATCTCTACTAAAAATTCAAAAATTAGCTGAGAATAATGGCATATGCCTGTGGTCTCAGCTACTTGGGAGGCTGAAGTGGGAGGATTGCTTGAGCCCCCGAGGTTGAGGCTTTGTGAGCCATGGTCATGCCACTGCACTCCAGCCTGGGTGACAGAGTGAGACCCTGTCTCAAAAAAACAAATAATAAACCTCTCATCTTTTTTATGGTGGCCAGAAGAATGAATTACAATGACTGACAAGGCTTTGGAAACAAGACAACCCCTCCCCACATCACAAGGACTGAAAAAGGTAATCAAATAGATTTTGCAGTATGTTCGAAGGTGGTAAGTGGTATGGAGAAAAGAAGAGTAACAGGGAAAAGTAGGGACAGGCTGTATGTATACTTAAATATGGTAATTGGGGTGGTAGGACAGCCCTGATCTCACTTTCTCAAAGACTTGAAGGAGATAAGGGAGTAGCTATGAGAGATCTGAGGGAAGAATATCACTAGATACTCTTAGAGGGATGTCTAGTGCAAGGGCCCTAAGATGGGAGCAAGCTTGAAGTGTTTTCTTAATAAGAGCAAGGAGGCCAGTGTGGATAGAGTAGAGTGAGCAAAAGGGAGAGAGATCAGGGATGAGAGCAGAGAGGACTAGGGACCAGGTTGTGTGGGGTCTTACATACCGTGGTAAGGACTTTGGCTTTTCTCTAAGTGAAATAAGAGGGAGCCATTGGAGGATTGTGAACAGAACAGAGACATGACCTGACTTCTATTTTATTTTATTTTCCTCTCATAGTTCTTGTCTCATACTGACTTATATTTTAAATAATTACTCTCAATACTGGGTTGAGAGTAAACTGTAGGCAAGCAGTGAGATAAGTAGGGATATTAGTTAAGAGGCTTATGAAGCTCAGGTTGGTAGCTTACACTTGTCATCTCAACATTTTGGGAAGCTGAGGCAGGATTGCTTGAGCCCAGGAGTTCAAGACCAGTCTGTGCAACAAAGTGAGACCTCATCGCTACAAAAATCTTTAAAAAAATTAGCTGGGCTTGGTGGTGCACTCCTTTAGTCCCAGCTGCTCAGGAGGCTGAGGTAGGAGGATCACTTGAGCCCGAGCGGTCAAGGTTGCAGTGCACACCACTGCATTCTGGCCTAGGTGACAGAGCAAGACCCTGTCTCAAAAAAACTAGACAAGTAAACCATTATTCTGGTTGTTTCTATGAAGGTGTGATATGGTTTGGCTGTGTCCCCATCCAAATCTCATTTTGAATTGTAGCCTCCATAAATTCCCATCTGTCATGGGAGGGACCCAGTGGGAGGTAATTGAATCATGGGGACAGGTCTTTCCCATGCTGTTCTTAAGATAGTGAACAAGTCTCACAAGATCTGATGGTTTTATAAAGGGGAGTTCCCCTACACAAGTTCTCTTGCCTGCTGCCACGTTAAGATGTGCCTTTGCTCCTCCTTCAACTTCATGATTGTGATGCCTCCCCAGCCATGTGGAACTGTAAGTCACTTAAATCTCTTTCCTTTATAAGTTACTCAGTCTCAGGTATGTCTTTATTAGCAGCATCAGAACAGACTAATACAGTAAATTGGTACTGGTATAGTGGGGTGCTGATGTAAAGATACCCGAAAATGTGAAAGCAACTTTGGAACTGGATAACAGACAGTTTGGAGGGCTCAGAAGGCAGGAAGATGTGGGAAAGTTTGGAACTTCCTAGAGATTTGTTGAATGGCTTTGACCAAAATGCTGACAGTGATATGGACAGTAAAGTCCAGGCTGAGGTAGTCTCAGATGGAGATGAGGAACTTGGGAACTAGAGCAAAGGTGACTCTTGCTATATTTTAGCAAAAAGACTGGTGGCATTTTGCCTCTGCCCTAGAGATTTGTGAAACTTTGAACTTGAAAGAGATGATTTAGGGAATCTGGCAGAAGAAATTTGTAAGCAACAAAGCATTCCAGAGGTAACTTGGGTACTGTTAAAAGCATTTAGTTTTATGTATTCACAAAGATATGGTTTGGAATTGGAACTTGTGTTCAAAAGGGAAGCACAACATAAAAGTTCAGAAAATTTGCAGCCTGATGATACGATAGAAAGGAAAAACCCATTTTCTGAGGAGAAATTCAAGGGGGCTGCAGAAATTTGCATAAGTAATGAGGAGCCAAATGTGAATCACCAAGACAATGGGGAAAATGTCTCAGGGCATGTCAGAGGTCTTCATGGCAGCCCCTCCCATCACAAGCCAGGAGGCCTAGGAAGGAAAAATGGTTTTGTGGGCCAGGCCCAGGGCCTTGCTGCTTTGTGCAGTCTTGGGACTTGGTGTCCTGCATCCCAGCTGTGGCAAAAAGAGGCCAACGTACAGCTCAACCCATTGCATCAGAGGGTGCGAGCCCCAAACCTTGGTGGCTTACATGTGTTGTTGTGCCTGAGGGCGCACAGAAGTCAAGAAGTGATGTTTGGGGACCTCTGCCTAGATTTCAGAGGTTGTATGGAAATGCCTGGATGTCCAGGCAAAGGTCTGCTACAGGGGCAGAGCCCTCATAAGAGAACTTCTGCTAGGGCAATGCAGAAGGGAAATGTGTGGTGTGGACCCCCACACAGAGTCCCCACTGGGGCACTGCATAGTGGAGCTGTGAGAAGAGAGCCACCATCCTTCAGACCCCAGAATGGTAGATACACTGACAGCTTGCATTGCACACCTGGAAAAGCTTTAGTCAGTTAATGCCAGCTCATGAAAGCAGTCAGGAGAGGGGCTGCACCCTGCAAAGCCACAGGCTGGGGCTGCCCAAGACCATGGGAAC
Source organism: Homo sapiens (assembly GCF_000001405.40). Taxonomy (NCBI): domain Eukaryota; kingdom Metazoa; phylum Chordata; class Mammalia; order Primates; family Hominidae; genus Homo; species Homo sapiens. Next base: position 83,289,999 of record NC_000004.12, read on the forward strand.
CCACCTTTTGCATCAGTGTGACCTGGATGTAAGACATGGAGTCAAAGGAGATCATTTTGGAGCTTTAAGATTTGGCTGCCCTGCTGGATTTCAGATTTGTATGGGACCTGTAGCCCCTTCGTTTTGGCCAATTTCTTTCATTTGGAACAGGTGTGTTTATCCAATGCCTGTACCTCCATTGTATCTAGGAAGTAACTAATTTGCTTTTGATTTTATAGGCTCATAGGGGGAAGGGACTTACCTTGTCTCAGATGAGACTTTGGACTGTGGACTTTTGAGTTAATGCTGAAATGAGTTAACACTTTGGAGGACTGTGGGAAGGTATGATTGATTTTGAAATGTGAGGACATGAGATTTGGGAGGGGCCAAGGGCGGAATGATACTGTTTTTCTGTGTCCCCACCCAAATCTCATCTTGAACTGTAGCTCCCATAATTCCCATGTGTTGTGGGAGGGACCCAGTGGGAGGTAATTGAATAATGGGGGTGGGTCTTTCCTGTGTTGTTCTCATGATAGTGAATACGTCTCATGAGAACTGATGGTTTTATAAAGGGGAGTTCCCCAGCACAAGCTCTCTTGCCTGCCACCATGTAAGATGTGCCTTTGCTCCTCCTTCAACTTCTGCCATGATTGTGAGGCCTCTCAAGCCATGTGGAATTGTAAGTTAATTAAAGCTCTTTCCTTTATAAATTACCCAGTCTGAAGTATGTCTTTATTAGCTGCATGAGGGCAGACTAATACAGGGTGTTTTAGGATGAAATTAACATTTAAATTGGCGGATTTTGAGTAAAGCAGATTGCCCTCCATAATGTGGGTGGGCTTCATCCAATCTGCTGAAGGCCTGAATAGAACAAAAGACTGACCTACCTCAGGCAAGAAGGAATTCTCCCAGCAAATGGCCTTTGGACTTGGACTTCAACTGCAACATCGGTCCTTTCCTGGGTCTCCAGCCTGCCAGCTAGCCTACCCTGCAGATTTTGGATTCAGCAGCCTCCATAATTGCTTGAACTAATTCCTTAAAATAAATCAGCTGGGCGCAGTGACTCACACCTGTAATCCCAGCACTTTGGGAGGCTGAGGTGGGCGGATCACCAGGTCAGGAGATTGAGACCATCCTGGCTAACATGGTGAAACCCCATCTCTACTAAAAATACAAAAAAATTAGCCGGGCTTGGTGGCGGACGCCTGTAGTCCCAGCTACTGGGGAGGCTGAGGCAGGAGAATGGTGTGAACCCGGGAGGCAGAGCTTGCAGTGAGCCGAGATTACGCCACTGCACTCCAGCCTGGGTGACAGAGCAAGACTCTGTCTCCAAAAAAAAAAAAAAAAAAACTCTTTATATCTTTATATATATCCTATTGGTACTGTTTCTCTTCTCTAGAGAACGCTAATGCAGAAATGTTGCACCTAGTGGATGGAGAATAAATTCATTCATCCCACAAATATTTGTTTAAATGGTGCGTCAACCAGAACATTCATTCCACTTTACATGTACCCTTCATTTTAGCAGATTTACATGTTTGAAGCACTTCTACATTCATATTTTTCGTCTCTACTATGTTTCATCTGATTTTTGTGGTTGGCCCTAGAGAAGGTGTTTTAGGTTTAAACAATATTTATTGGTCAGGTGTGGTGGCTTATGCCTGTAATCCCAATACTATGGGAGGCTGAGGCAGGCAGATCACTTGAGCCATGGAGTTCAAGACCAGCCTGAGCAACATATCAAAACACTGTCTTTACAAAAAATACAAAAATGCATGGTGGCATGCACTTGTAGTCCCAGCTACTAGGGAGGCTGAGGTGGGTTGAGCCCAGGAGGCCTAGGCTGCAGTGAGCCATGAGCATGCCATACCACTGCACTCCAGACTGGGTGACAGAGTGAGACCCTTTCTCAAAAAAAGAGAGAATAGAAAAGAAAATATTTATCGTTTGACTCCCAAATGAGACGTTAAAGTGACTTTCAAGCTTAACAAATACAATCATTAACTATAATTGCTTCCGGCCTTAAAATAATTTTATGTGAAACTGGTGTTCTTTGTAGAAATTGTAATTGACAATAATGTGACTATAAAATGATAGCTGATGAGAAATAAGAGAATAATAAGAGACAAATTTTGGGAGGCATCCCCTACAATTCTTGGTAGTGCTGGTGGAACTGAACGCTCATTGCCCACAGCAGCAAACTCAACAGCAAAAATTAATATTGGTTTTTTCTTCACTTCCCTCTCACACTCCCTGTTCTTTCATTCCTTATTCCCAAATAACCCACCTGACCCAAGTCCTTGTCTCAGACTGTGCATTGGAAAACCCCCACTTCTGATCCTGATAGTATAACAAGGGGTGAAACAACACACTAGTGGTTCTATATCCTGTTTCCAGGTATAAACAAAGCAGTGAAGGAAAACAAGGCTTCCAAATGTAGGAGTCTGTAGGCTTTACATTACTAAAAGAATAGTCATACAATATCAAGATTATAAAAATTACTTTATTTCAAATGTGAAAATATAAAAACCACTTACATATAAAATTTAAGAGTATTGAAAGATCTAAAATTTAATTTTCAGCTTTAGCTCCTTACAAATATACTTAAATTGAATGAAATTGAATGGAATTAACCTAAGTGTCCATCAACTGATAAGTGGATAAAGAAAATGTGGTATATATGTACCATGGACTATTACTCAGCCATAAAGAAGAATAATGTATTTTGCAGCAACTTGGACGGAACTGGGGGCTGTTATCCTAAGGGAAGTAACTCAGGAATGGAAAACCAAATACTGCATGTTCTCACTTATAAGTGGAAGCTTAGCTGTAGGTACACAAGAACATACACAGTGGTATAAGGGATGTTGGAGACTCAGAAGGGAAGAGGGCGGAAGGAGGGTAATGGATGAAAAATTACCTATTGGGTACAATGTACATCACTCAGGTGACAAGTACATTAAAAGCCGAGTCTTCACCACTACACAATTCACCCCTGTAAGCAAAAAGTGTGTACCCCTAAAGCTATTAAAATAAAAAATTTTAAAGATACTATATCCATAACAGGCATACATTTGAAGAATATTAATCCTTAAGAGGGGAAAATAATTACATTTTTTCACTGGTAAAAAGCGCAGAACTGCAGTGTTCAGTTTGTAGACTGACCAACACCCTCTCCATTCCAAAGGGTTACTCAGAGACAATTATAGGAACCTCGTTGTTGTTGGCAGTGACTGGTGAAATGGCCACATTACCCATTTCTGAACAATAAGACATGAGGAGACATGAGGAGAGGTTTGCTGTGAGAAGCTCTGAAAAAGAGTTATTCAAGTCTATGAAGGAGACTCAAAAAATGGCTCATTTTCTTCCTCTGGTTGCTATGAGGTTTGAAGGGGCCCATGAAACAGCTACAGCCATCATGCTACCAGAGTCTGAGAATGAAGCCAGCGCTAAAGATGGCAGAGCAGAGAGCTGGGAAGAACCCAGATCCCTGGTGACGTACTGAAGTGCTGGAGCCTGGCCTGTTTGAACGTCTAGTTATGTGGGAATATACATTTCCTTATTGCTTAAGCCATTTGAATTAGGAGTTTCTGTTACTTGCAGCCAAAAGCTTCCCAACTGAAACAAGGAAGAAAGGTAGAGAAAAAGCAAGCATTAACAGACAGTTATAAGGTATTGGGTGTTTTCTAAAATTTATCCTCTTGACAAATCAATTTCATTTATAGTAATTTTAAGTTTACAGAATCTCCTCGCCTCTGAATTGTCATTAACCATTTTTTATACTATCATATCTAACAATCTGTCCTCTCACATATTATTGCTGACAAAGAAAACCGAAAGAAGAAAATCAGCAAAATCTAGCTGTCTTTTAAGGTGCAAATAGATAGTTTCTCTTTTACAACCAGTTTCACGGTAACGGCAGTATGCTTTTTCTGATGGGTGCCTGTAGAGATGGCACATGAAGGAAAGAATTCTAAAATCTTCTAATACATTTTGAAAGATAAATATACAGCTAAGCACCTTCTTAAAACTCATAATATATCCTTCGCTTCCTTGCTTCCTGACCATATTAGGAGCATTCATATACATTTTTAATAACTTGTTTTTTTGAGATGGAATCTCTCTCTGTCACCCAGGCTGGAGTGCAGTGGCACAATCTCGGCTCACTGCAACCTCTGCCTCCTGGGTTCAAGTAATTCTCCTGCCCCAGCCTCCCAAGTAGCTGGGACTACAGGACCACACCCAGCTAATTTTTGTATTTTTTAGTAGAGATGGGGTTTCACCATGTTGGCCAGGCTGGTATCAAATTCCTCACGTCAGGTGATCCATCTGCCTCGGCCTCCCAAAGTGCTAGGATTACAGGTGTGAGCCACTGCGCCCAGCCATTTTTAATAACTTTAAATAAAGACTGGTTGTGGTGGCTAATCGCTGTCCCCACAGGTATTATAGTCTTTCGCTGACTAGCAACACTGCACAGAGGTAACATCAAATGATCTCCTGCTGTACCATGCTGTACTCCCAAAGAAATCCCAGCACCTGGAAGGCCAAGGTGGGAGGATCAATTGAGTCCAGGAGTTCAGGACCAGTTTGGGTAACATAGCGAGACCCCATCTCTACAAAAAATTTTTTAAAAATAGCCAAGTGTGATGGCATGTGTCTGTGGTCCTAGCTACTTGGGAGGCTAAGCAGGAGGATGACTTGAGCCCAGGAGTTAAAAGGCTGCAGTGATCTATGATTGCACCACTGCACTCAAGCCTGGGCAACAGAATGATACCCTGTCTCAAAAATAAAACACTGCTGGGTGTGGTGGCTCACACCTGTAATCCCAGCACTTTGAGAGGCTGAGGCGGGTGGATCACTTGAGGACAGGAGTTCGAGGACAGGAGTTCGAGACCAGCTTGGCCAATATGGCGAAACTCCATCTCTACAAAAAATATAGAAAGTAGCTGGGCGTGGTGGCACACGCCTATAATCCCAGCTACTCAGGAAGCTGAGGCAGGAGAATTGCTTAAAGTTGCAGTGAGCCAAGATCGCACCATGGCACTCCAGCCTGGGTGACAGAGAGAGATTCTGTCTCAAAATAAATAAATAAATAAATAATAAAACAAAACAAAACTTTAGATAAAAGTAAAACATGCAAAATGCTAAGCAGTATTTGGAACAAGGTATTATTAGCTATTATTATTAGCAGTGTTCTACCTAGCGAGATCAAAATACTGTGCTAAATCTAGCACTGACAGTGTCCCAGTGTCTCTCAAGCACCCACTAGTTGCTTTGCAAGGTATCTGCTTCCTTTCCTATAACTTGAGTTGCTTTACTCTTAGTATACTTGAAAAATTCAGTGTCAGGACTAGTATATTTTATTTTCAGATGCAAGCAGCAACTTTGGCATTTCTTATCACAAAAAAACTATATGAGAAAGCTGGCAAGCCCAGTGAACTTCCTGGCCGGAGAGGTTTTTCCATTAAAGGTGGCAAGGTTTGATCATCCACCATCTTTAGAGTTAGACCATTGAGTTGGACAGATCTGCAAAGGAGAAAGATACACCGAGTTAACCAAGTGGTGCATGCCCCACCCATGCTGCTACAAAAGTCATGAAATCTTTTTTAGACCAAATAAATTTTTTTTTGTGGCAGCCTATATTATATAACTTGTATTTCAACACTATATCACTTAGGCATTTGACCTAGATAATCTTTAAGCTACAATGGCAGGGATGAGTAGTTATGATAGAGACCATATGGACTCCAAAGCCAGAAATACTTACTGTCTGGCCCATTACAGAAAATGGAACACACACAATCTATATACTAGGCAATATGATGGTGGTATAAAAAGGATAAACATGACACAACTTCTGGAATGGTGGCTATTTTATTTAATGGCCAATAATTGAAACCTTTTTTATGTAAAGAAAATAGATATATAGAATTGAATGCAGTTTTTATGAATTTAGCATAAATGGTAGCCAATGAAATTTCTCACTTGTAACTATGCCCATAAACTGCCTAACTCCCCTCTCCCTGCAGGAGGTATGCATTCATTTTCTTACTGTTATTAAGAAATTTTGGTAGAATGCTGTGGTGAAACAAAAACAATTTGGCTAAACTACAGAAAATTTTATATTTTCTATGTATTTCACTATTGGAATTCAAATTAAAAACTGTTGAACGTTCTTAAAAATTAAGGAAAAGTGTTATTTCTTATACATACTTATTATTTAAATCAAATTAATGCATATTCACAGGAGCGAATCAATATAGGCAAGAGCTTATGAAGAAAAGCTTTAGTCGGCTGTAGGTCTATTGATATTTTCATAATTCTAAATAAGATGCTTATATCTCTTTTTCTCAAATATGTTTTATATTGTCAACAAAGTTAGCACTCTTTAAATATTGAAAACTTGTAAGATTAGGCCGAGCACAGTGGTTCACACCTGTAATCCCAGCACTTTGGGAGGCTGAGGCAGGCAGATCACTTGAGGCCAGGAGTTCAAGATCAGCCTGGCCAACATGGCAAAACTCCATCTCTACCCAAAAATACAAAAATTAGCCGGGCATGGTGGTGTGTGCCTGTAGTCCCAGCTACTCAGGAGGCTGAGACATGAGAATCGTTTGAACCTGGGAGGCGGAGGTTGCAGTGAGCCGAGATTGCACCACTGCACTCCAGCCTGGTAGAGCAAGATTCTGTCTAAAAAAAGAAAAAAAAAAAAAAGAAAAGAGAACGTATAAGATTAGTTACTGTCAGAGTTATATTTATATCATTTAGGTAATACATGTAAAGTATGTAGAACACTTATAACAGTGTCTTTTATATAGTAAACACTATAAAAGTATTATCTATCATCATTATTATTACTAAGATAAATAAAAGTAACCTAAGTCATTATAACCATTTTAAATATTTTGATGTATATTCATTCTTTCATCTATTTTTTGTGTACATGTATACAGTCATATGCCACATAAGGATGTTTTGGTCCACCATGGACCGCATATATAAGTGTGGTTCCATAAAATGATAAAATTATAATTCCTATTGCCTAGCAATGTCATAGTCATTGTAACATTGTAGCACAACACATTAGTTTTCTATGTTTTAGATATGTTTAGATACACAACTACTTAACACAATGATAGCTTGCCATTGTGTTAAGTATTTGTATATTCGCTACAGTAACATGCTTTACAGGTTTGTAGCCTAGGAGCAACAGGCTAGTCATATAGCCTAGATACATAGTAGGCTAGACCATCTAGGTTTGTGTAAGTTCACTCTATGATGTTCACACAAGGATGAAATCACCTATCGACACATTTCTCGGAATGTATCCCCATCATTAAGCAACACATGACTGTACATACCTTTTTTTTTTTTTTTACTTAAGTATGGGTATACTGTATTTTCTTAAAACTTGATTCTTCCCCCCACCCCAGCACATCCTAACTTTTTCTCACACCATTAAACATCCATCCACTACATAATTTTAATGTCTGCACAAGATTCCATGGTGTGAGTATATTAGTTTATTTACTTAATTCTCTAATGTTAGATATTTTTCCATGTAGCATTATTATATATTTGTTTTCCTTAAAGAAATCTCTCACACCCTGTCCTCATTAAGCATCAGTGAGCAGAAAAACTGGTTTACATTTTGACCTAATGAGACGCTCAGCCCTGTGTTCTGTAACTTAAGACATATCAATAGCACGCCCATGATTGTAGCAGAGGTTAGCATGCCTGCATTGCAGTTGTACTCAGTCTATATGAGTTGGTTTTGTTTAAAAGCCTGTATCACCTCAATTTTTAGATGGAGTGAAGGGGGAAATGCCATGACCATCATCAGGAAACCACAAACAAAAATAGGTCTTGAAAATATCTCCAGCTAACAGTGGTAAGAGCCTGTTCTGCATGAAATTAAGAAACTTGCAAGAGTACACACAAAAGTTTTAGATATGCTTTTGGAGAGGATATTTTGCTACAAAGTTTAAAGGTAAATCTGATCACTGTGAATTAATCCTGCTGGAGATAAGATGAGGTACATGGGCAAGATATTATACCATCAGGCTATATTGCTTAATCAGCTGTATATTTATCTAAAAGATGCTACACATATATCAAGGGTAAGCTTAATGTATGCTGATTATTTTCACATCAGGCTGGGCAATGAGGGTGGGGTTTAATTTGGGTATAGTGTTTTATTTTATATTCTGAAGTCAATAACATGACGACAAAGAAATAGAAGATGTTTGTCAAATTTCAGATGAAATGAAGCTGGAAGGAATTAGCAAGCAACAGATTCGGCGGAAATGGGGATGCTGGGCAAAATGTATGAGATAAATATAAAATACGGCCTTTATGTTAAAAATATGTTCACTCAGCCCAGATGAGGTGGGTCATGCCTGTAATCCCAGCACTTTGGGCGGCTAAGGCAGCAGGATTGCGTGAGTCCAGGAGTTCAAGACCAGCTTGGGCAATATAGTGAGACCTTGTCTCTATTTTTTTTTAAAAAAAAACAGATGTTCATTTAAATATTTATTAAAGTCTTACTATGCAGGACCCTAATAATTTTTAGGGCTGGGTGCAGTTTTTCATGCCTGTAATCCCAGCACTTTGGGAGGCTGAGGAAGATCACTTGAGCTTAGGAGTTTGAGACCAGCCTGGGCAACATAATGAGACATCGTCTCTACAAAAAGTTAAAAAATTAGCCAGGTGTGGTAGCATAAGCCTGTGGTCTCAGCTACTCAGAAGGCTGAGGAGGAAGGATCACTTGAGCCCAGGTAGCGGTGGCTGCAGTGAGCTGTGACCGCACCACTACTCTCCAGCCTGGGAGACAGAATGAGACCCCCGCCTCAAAAATAATGATAATGATAGTAATAATTTTTAAAGGTGACTGTTGTTTAACTCTCCGAGGTCATTAATATGAGTAAGCGTACAGACTGTGCACTCAAAAACTTATCTAGGATACTATTTTGCAAAATTTTAAAGACAGAAGAGTGTAAGTAATATATACTCATCAAAGAGAATTTAGGGGAACAAAACATTGTCTATAATTTCACCAGTTTTCCAATTATAAAACATGAAATGTGTGATCAGAATGTAATAGGGGCAGGGCACGGTGGCTCACTCGTGTAATCCTAGCACTTTGGGAGGCTAAGGCAGGTGGATCACTTGAGGTCAGGAGTTCAAGACCAGCCTGGCCCACATGGTGAAACCTCATCTCTACTAAAAATACAAAAATTAGCCAGGCGTGGTGATGCATGCCTCTAATCCCAGCTACTAGGGAGGCTGAGGTGGGAGAATTGCTTGAACCCAGGAGGCGGAGGTTGCAGTGAGCCTAGATCATGCCACTGCACTCTAGCCTGGACAACAGAGTGAGACTCTGTCTCAAAAAAAAAAAAAAAAAAAAAAAAAAGAAGAAAGAGAAAATGTCTACAGAGGCTATGTTGGAAAGGCTCTTGGGAAGACTTCTGGATCTCTCCCCTGACCCTGCCTTTTTCCTATTACATGTTATATGATTATAGTTATAGTAAAATAAAGCATAGAGGGGAAAAAATAAAAGAGCAGTACCCAGTGTAAATAATGTTTGTCTGTGGGGGACAGGACTTTGGAGAAAGCGTGCTTACTGTACTGCCTCAGGTTCCGAGGCTAATAGTCCTGGAACACATCACTTATGTGGCATTTGCAAAGATGGGAGGAGATGGTGAGAATTTTGTAAACTCTTAATTTTTATTTATTTATTTTTTTGAGACAGGGTCTCACTCTGTCACCCAGGCTGGGTGACAGAGGCACCATCACAGCTCACTGCAGCCATGACCCCCCTGGGCTCAAGCAATCCTCCCACCTCAGCTTCCCAAGTAGCTGGGACTACAGGCATGCACCACCACGCCTGGCTAATTTTGGTATATTTTGTAGAGAGAGTTTTGCCATATTGCCCAGGCTGGTCTCAAACTCCTGGGCTGAAGTGATCTGCCTGCTTCAGCTTCCCAAAGTGTTGGGATTACAGGCATGAGCCACTGCGCCAAGCCTGTAAACTCTTTTTATGCTCCAATATGAGAATAGTCATGAGAAAGGAACTCCTTCCAACATACATTGAACAGAAACCTTAAAATATTTATATGCCTAACTCTTCAAGACTCATAGTCATTTTTTGGCACTCCATTGAATACAGGCTTTTATAAGATGTAGTCAATAATTGGTTTTTGAAACCAAAGTGTATGAGAATCTACTTAAGAAGTATACTCTAGCTATTCTTTTTCTTACTCTAACCAATAAAAATTAATGCTGTAAAAGAATCACACTGATCTCACATGGTATGATATTTTATACCAACCCACATACCTTTGATAGCAATTATATAAAGGTATATTTTGCTTTAGTGAATGTGTTACCAAGAATTATGTCTTTTTAGAGTAAATAATTTAAATGCGTTGAGTGGATCTTGATATGTCAAGTTATTTTGAAATGCAAACTTATTCTCTAAGATAACTGCTAGTTTGTGTTCACATCCTTTTGCTTTAGACTCTTAGGGTGAGTTATACTCATATTAGTAAGTATTCATACATAAATTTCCTGAATATTAAGAATTATTACACTTTGGGAGGACGAGGCGGGCAGATCACGAGGTCAGGAGATCGAGACCCATCCGGGCTAAAACGGTGAAACCCCGTCTCTACTAAAAATACAAAAAATTAGCCGGGCGTAGTGGCGGGCGCCTGTAGTCCCAGCTACTTGGGAGGCTGAGGCAGGAGAATGGCGTGAACCCGGGAGGCGGAGCTTGCAGTGAGCCGAGATCCCGCCACTGCACTCCAGCCTGGGCGACAGAGCGAGACTCCGTCTCAAAAAAAAAAAAAAAAAAAAAAAAAAAAGAATTATTAGAACTTGATATAGTTGACTTTGTCTTTTGCTCCCTGTCCAAACTCTCTATTCTGATAAACACCAATAAATTTATTGAAAGTTTGGAATGAACAAGGAAAATTACTTACTTGGAAAGTAATCCATGAGGTCCCAAAGGTCTTAGAAGGTATTTATCCACTTGCTTGTTAGAAAAAGGATAGGGTAACCGCAAGTACTTGGTGACATTATGGAGGTTTATGGCATACAGAGTTAAATCTCCTTCTTTATACCTTGGACTAAAAGCAAAGAGGTTAACTTAATAGAAATATGTATCTAATTTAAGCAATTAAAAACTCAATTACAAATGTGATCCTAAGTATTAGTATCCATAATGACAATCCATAATGCATCCTAAGTATTAGGATCCATAATGACAGTGGGCCCTCTTAGTATCCTTCTTTTATGATCGTTTTAGACCGCTAGTGTGCTCCTATTTTGAAAACACAATTAAAAATGTTGCCGTTCATGCTACCAATGTCTGGGCTAGAGCACACTGAGATCCTCACAGCTCTGCCAGCTGGGTTGTTAAGAGGCCAGCCAGACTATCCATTTTCAGACATAGGAAGGTAAAAGGCAAATTTTGTGGGTTCATGTGAATTCAAATTATAAACCATAAAAACAGGGGCTTTTCCTAGCCTTATAAAAAGACTGAAATGTATAAGAAAATTAAATCTACTGACATTTTTTATGAATTTATCCATTCAAACCATTCCCCTCGCTACTTCCTACTGGGGTCCTCACTATCCAGAGTTCCCAGTCACCAACAATCGGAAATGGTAGCTGGTCTTTTTTGGCTAGAATTAGTATTTCAGCATCATCTTATCAGGAATGATAGATTGAAACCTATCTAGAGAATATTCCTGAGATTTAGGAACATTTTTTGCTACCTAAAGCAAGAGTATGAGGCTACAAAAATCTCGATGTCTTCTCAACTCCAGAAACTGCGGTCACAACTTTTGAAAATAATATTGTTGTTATTATTGTTCTCCTCTTCAAGAATCACTTGAACCCGGGAGGCGGAGGTTGCAGTGAGCTGAGATTGCACCACTGCACTCCAGCCTGGGTGACGAGCGAGGCCCCGTCTCAAAAAACAACAACAACAAAAGTAGCATTTTTCTTCTAAAAATAAAATAAAATAAAATCGTTGTATAAAACTTTACTAAATTGCAACTGCCTATACTTATGCAATGTATAGACACATGCAACAGGGTGTTTGAGTAAAGTTACAGGCTTACCCACTAAAACTTGATGATTGGTAAAGGGTGTGTTTCATACTTACTTGTCAGTGTTTGTGCAATGAAGGTATACTCGAAGCTTCCTTCTCTTTGAACCTTGCACGCTTGCCATTAACACCTTGGTGCCCACCAATTTCTTGAACAGAAGAGATAGCCAATAATCCTAGTTGTGGTGGTTGGGGAGAAAGAGACAAAAATAGATGTTTACTTATGTCCTTATTTAATGAAACCAGTGGCAAGCAAATAGTTATCCTACAAAGAGTATCACTGTTATCCTGGGGGCATTTAAATAGGATTCATCTTTTTTTTTTTTTTCCCCTCACATGTGACCACCATGAATCTGAGAGCAGTATCGTGCTTGCTGCTTTTTATCACTGGAGGACACAATTCAAAAGGCCATAGCCTGTAGGGGATATCTGTCAAGAATGATCAGAGTTTAAGTATTCTTGGTTATCGTTCATCCAAGAATTCAAAGCAAAGCTCAAAGCCAAACTTTTAGACACACACACATACACAAACACATGTACACACAAAGACAAATTTTTAAAGTAAAACTTCTGTCTGTTTAGAGACAAATAATTTCATTTAGGCCAGGCACGGTGGCCAAAGTGTAATCCCAGGATTTTGGGAAGCTGAAGTGGGTAGATCACTTGAACCCAGGAGTTCAAGACCAGTCTGGGAAACATGATGAAACCCCTTCTGTACACAAAATACAAAAAATTAGCCAGGTGTGGTGGTGTGCACCTGTAGTTCCAGGTACCCAGGAGGCTGAGGTGAGAAGATCACCTGATCCCAGGAGGTCAAGGCTGCAGTGAGCCGTGATTGTGCCACTGCACTCCAGCCTGGGAAACGAAATGAGACACTGTCTCAAAATAACAGTTAAAAAAATCTTAAAAAAAAATTTATTTTAAAACCTTATTCCCCCCACCCCAATAAAGTAATGGATTAGGCAATGGTCATCAGTAGCTGTCAAGATCAAAACCAGACACAACCAGACATTCTGTGCTTCCAGAAGCAGATAATAAAGAATTCTTGCAAAAAAATACAATTAAAAACCTGAATAAACTCAAGCTTCTAGGTATAACTACCAGTTTACAGGAAACACAGGGGACAGAGGAACATGCTAAATGATATCATAGGGAATAAATTTAGCAAACTCTATAATGTAGGAAATACTATAGAACAAATTACCTGTTTTTTCACATTAATAAATTACAAGAGATGAAAGAGAGGGAGGAATAACTTAAAGATGAACAAACTTAAGAGACTTATCAACCAAATGTAATATATGGACCTTGTTTGGATTCTGATTTGAATAACTATCAACAATATTTTAGACAAGGAAAATGTGAGACACTGACAAAATATTTGGTGATACTAAGGAATTATTGTTATTATTTAAAGTATGATAAAAGTATTGTGTTTTTACAAAAAGGATACATACTAAAATATGTATTTTTTTGAGACATGGTCTTACTCTGTCACCCAGGCTGGAGTGCAGTGGTGTGAATGCAGCTTACTGCAGCCTCAACCTCCTGGGCTAAAGCGATCCTCCTGCCTCAGCCTCTCATGTAGCTGGGACCACAGGCATGTGCCACCATGCCCAGATAAGTTTTTGATTTTTTGTTGCCGTAGCTGGTCTTGAACTCCTGGGCTCAAGTGATCCTCCTGCCTCAGCTTCCCAAAGTGTTGGGATTACAGGTGTGAGCCACCACACCTAGCACATACTGAAATATTTATAGATAAAGTAATATATCTGAAATTTGCTTCAAAGTAATCTAATAGGTAGGAGGTGAAAAGTGGGAAGGATTACGGATTAAACAAGATCAAAGTATGCAGGAGGAAATTATATTTTCCTCCTACTCTTTAGTTCTTAGTTGGGATGGACCTCTGTAACAAGACAGAAAACAGGAGAAAACAAACAGAAGCTTGTTAACATGTATATTAATACATGTATGTTAACAGAAAATACCAGGGAACAAGTAATTCTCAAAGAGGTGGCTTAGAACTCCAGCTTATAGAGCAAATTTTTGGACAAGAGACATGACAAAGGAAAAGGATTTTTAGTCTCTGGGGTGGCAAGTTGTGGGAAGGAAAATAAATGAGTATGTAATATAGATTCTTCTAGTGCCATCTCTACACTGATAAGGGTCTGAAGTTATCTTCAGTGATTAACTCTTGTTTTTCCTGGTAGAAAGGGAAGGAGGGGGACTTTTAAGATTCATGTCCTGCTTTTAGGCAAATGGAGAAGGACAGAGAACTTTTCTTCTATGTGTTTCTTCCCAGTTGCCTTTAGCTCGAAATAATCCTTATGCCAAAGTGGCATATTTTGGGGTGGCATATTCTAGTCTCCTAAAGTGGGTTCATATACTTTCCTCTGTATTTTGTATATGATTAAAATTTTCTATAGTAAAAGTTTTTCTTAAAAAACTGCGGATCGGTGGTGGGCACAATGGTTCATGCTGTAATCCCAACACTGGGAGGCTGAGGTGGGATGATCACTTGAGCCCAGGAGTTTGAGACCAGCCTGCACAATACAGTAAGACCTTGTATCAATTTTTAAAATAATAAATAAATAAATAAATCACCATTCAACACATACCCCAACTTTCCTTCTTGAAAGTAGAGGGAAAGTAGACTTAACAAGACAAATGGCTTTTGTTTCTCTGCTTAAATTCCACTTTTTCACTGGAGACAAGAGTGGAATCAATGTTTTCAAAGGAGACATAAGCATGGGTCAATGACTGGTAGGGTAGAAAGTATGCAGGCCTCAGAAGCAGGATTTGAATGGGATTTTTAAGAGTAACATAGGACTACAGTATGGCTTCCTGTAAATCATGCAACCTCTTCTCAATTTGAACTTCCTTATCTAAAAAATGGATCCAAGATACCTGCCTTGCCACCTCACAGGACTGTCATGCAAATAAAATAAAGTCACAGACATGTAGAGTGAGTTTAAGTCTAATTCTCTTGGATCTACAAGTGAGAAGGGTACCATTTACTCTTGCACATTTTTCTAGCTGACTGAGAACCTTGAAGGAGAAGCATATTTAGTGCATATACAAAGAGTTCGTAAGGCAAAGGTTTATGTCTGGGCCCTGGGAAAATTTGGATGAGATAAAAAGGTCAGGAGTAGATTTTGAATGTTTGTCTGGTGAAATTACTATGCTTAGTTTAACTCTATACATGACAGAATATACTTGGGGAAAGATAAATTCCATTTTTGCAAGATCACTTTTCTAAGAATTTTCTAAAAAAAGATGACTAATATGTTCCACAAGCTTGGATCACTATAGATAAAAAGCAATTTTGTTGGGAAGTCTATCCACAAACCACAAAAGCCTAGCTTATATTTTCACGTACGCTCTTTGCAAAATTTCTTAGCTTTCCTACAACATTCAAATAATTCTTTTAGGAATTATTCTTAGAAAATATATATCTGCAAATGACATTTTAGACTATAAAAATCAAGGTCATGCTTCTCAGGGCTACATCTGTATTATCCCTGACATATATTTAGACATACAGATCTTCCACGAGGCTTTTTGGGAAGAAACATTTCCTGATTTAGCACCAGATACAGTTGGAGGAAGGATTAGAAATAAGACTTTATTCATAAATATCTTGAAGATTATTAACAACATAGTAAATTCTTAGCATGAGATTTTTAAGCAAACACATGGTACTGGCTCATTTTAAGGTTAAATAAATTACAATTTCATAACATAAAAAATGTTTTGAAGCTTTGCGTACTGTAGGCAATTATAACTTTGATTTACTTTGTAAAACATTTGAAAATCCAACTTATTTTGTCTTGTATAATGAGTCATAAAATTTCAAATTATCCCCTTTTAAACAAAATCCACACTATACTGCAAATGGCTTACCTTTAAAAAGTTATTCCTAGCTCTTGATTTCTTCTCTTCAAACACACAAAAAAATGTTAGATTGGATGCTATCTAAGGCTCCTTCTAATTCATCATCTCATGATTTGGCTAGTTACTGAGAGGACTGACTGTTCATAGGAGGTTAACACCAGAGGTCCTGAGTTGACTTTAATCTACTCCACTAGAATTAGGAAAATAATGGTCACTTACAGGTAAAGGATCGAAGTTTTCATCCACTAAATGGTAGTTTCCTGCTCCAAAGAATACTTGCCTCATCACCACTTCTATTCCCATTCGGGCTGACAGGCCCAATTTATCCAGCCACCTGGGACAGAGCAAGACCAAGCTTTCTTGAGGTTTGGAAACAAAATCGCTCAATTCTAATTGCACACCATCTTGATTTTATTTATGTATTTATTTATTTACTTATTTATTTATTTAGAGACAGGGTCTCACTCTGTCACCCAGGCTGGAGTGCAGTGGCGTGATCATAGCTCTCTGCAACCTCAAACTCCTGGGCTCCATTAATCCTCCTGTCTCAGCCTCCCAAGTAGCTGGGACTGAAACCGCCTTTGCAAAAATTATAACTGAGGAAATTATGACAGTGAAAGAGATCAGACCTCATTGACTCCATCTTGCTTCTAACCTTTAAGCTGTCCTTCTTCATTCCTGGGTGTAGGCTGAACTAACTTTGGGAAGAAATTCAGTTCATGGTTTGACTCTGAAACAAAAATGATAATAGCCCTTTTCTGAAAAGACCCCCTTCTTGCCTGGGGACAAGTCTACCTTTGCAGGACTAACAAATTAGCTACAACATTAGAGATTACGGTTTAGGGATAATGCAGCCTCTGGCTCCAAGAGTCTGAACCTCCCCAAATTGTTCCTGGGGATAACATCACTGTTGTAAAACCTAAGATCAGTGCTTGAGATATCTTGCAGACCCTGAACTGGGTGGATCATTTGAGACCACCCAGACCGGTAATCTGGCCCAACCAGTTCTGCCATCCCATCCAGGAACAGAAGACAGCAAGAAAACCTCACTTCCACTCCCTGTGATTCCATCTCCAACCTGACCAACCAGCACTCTCCACTTCCTAAGCCCCTACCGGCCAAATTATCCTTAAAAGCTCTGATCCTCGAATGTTCGGGGAGACTGATTTGAGTAATAATAAAACTCTGGTCTCCTGCACAGCTGGCTCTGCATAAATTACTCTTTCTCCTTTGCAATTCCCCTGTCTTGATAATTGGCTCTATCTAGACAGCAGGCAAGGTGAACCTGTTGGGTGGTTACAGGACCACAAGTGCATGCCACCATGCCTGGTTCTGGTTTATTGATCTTTGAGGGAGGAATTAACAGGAAGCCAGAAAAGTGTCATCAATTATAAATAAGTCATTTAAATGAAATGGCAACTGCATGCAGCAGCAGCAGCAGCAGCAGAATCCCTCCCTTTACATCTTTCCATATGATAACAAATCCTAGAAGACTATTACCATGCTAGAGGTATCCCTTTCAGGGTGAGACAAATTCCCACCTCTATAGACAATTCCTGGTCCTATGAGGTCCCTGCACAAACAATGTGTGAGGGCTGAAGAAAAAGTGGCAGTCAGCGGGGGTAAAATGTAAAATAAGCAGAATTGCACCTAAGCTATTATGGACACCTCTTCCCACTTCTCCTTCTCTATCCCCCTTCTCCCCGACACCCCAGATCTTTAGTTAATGGCAAAACAAACATCTCCATTCTTTATTCCTCTTGCTTCCATGGGCATAAAGGATTTGTGATGTATTCTAGGCTTATAAGAATGAGGATGAGAGAAAAAAGAATGAAGATGGAAGAGAAAAGAAAAAAAATCTCAATGTGAGGATATAGCAGTATAGATTAAAAGCACTAATAGAGTTACTAAATGTAACTAAACCAGTATTTTAAAGCAATCAAGTTTGTGGTGTTGGACAATGAGATGATTTAACAAATCTTTAAATTTAATGATAGCCCCTCTGGTGGGACCTCATACTTTAGGCTCTAAACTTCTTGGGAATCTATGAATTATAGCTACATACACTAAGTATCCTCCTGAGAGACAAAGCTGTAATATGCTCTAACTTGCATTTTTTTTTTTTTTTAAGAGACAGGGTGTGGCCGGGCGTGGTGGCTCATGTCCGTAATCCCAGCATTTTGGAAGGCTGAGGTAGGCAGATCACTTGAGCTCACGGGTTTCAGACCAGCCTGGGCAACATGTCAAAACCCCGTCTCTACTAAAAATACAAAAATTAGCCCAGTGCGGTGATACTCCTGTAGTCCCAGCTACTCAGGACGCTGAGGCAGGAGAATCGCTTCAATCCGGGAGGCAGAGGTTGCAGTGAGGTGAGATCGTGCCACTGCCCTCCAGTCTGGGTGACAGAGGGGAAAAAAAAAGACAGTCTCACTCTGTTGCCCAGTCTAGAGTGCAGTGGCACCATCATAACTCACTGCAGCCTCAAACTCCTGGGCTCAAGCAATCCTCCCACCTTGGCCTCCCAAAGTATTGGGATTACAGGGAACTACCATATCCGGCTATATGCATTCTTTTACAGTGTACTTCTTTAGAGTAAGGACTACTTGACATATTTATGGGCCATAATTAAAGGCCAAAATTTCTGAAACAATTCATCCTTATAGTGATTAATTTGGAACACTTGTTAAAGATGTCCCTCAAGCTTTAGTAAATCATTTTCTTGCAAAATCTGGCATGAATTTTGGGGCTCAGCCACTGAAATGGTCTTTGATCTGCTTTTTGGCTGGGGAGCTATTTCAGCAGAATAGAAGGATGGAGAAGAGCTGCACTCTGACCCCTAAGGCCAGCGCTGCTTCACTCACATAAAGCCAGCTGCAAAGGTGTCGGATAGCAAGGGCGCTCCGCCTCCATATGCAGAGCTTGTTTCTCCTAACCAGACCTTCTTGCCAGGCCTGGTGCTCTCAACCACCTATAGAACAGAAAAGTATCCATGGTAATTGCAAAAAAGCTGACCTGTGGTTTCAACTGTGGTGTTGAAGATTAACAGCATTCAAAACTTTGTATTCCTAGACCCACCCCTCCTATATAGTTATAAAATATGTTCATAGTCATTTAGGTCTTGGGAAACTTTCTTTTATTGAAATAGTAGGCTGTGGAAGGAACATGAAGTGAACCAACCCATTCTTATCATCTATGTGAGTTAATTCTACTAAAGGCTATTGGAAATATTTCAAATTTCTAATCACGTACATGGGGTAAGACCCAATGCTAAGGGGAAAACTAACAGTGGATAAGTCATAGTGCTTGTTCTCTAAAATTAGAAAAACATGTAAATATACATACCTATAGAATTTAGAACTAGCTAGACTATAAAATAAGGATTCTGGTTTTACATTAAAAAGTTTAAAAAGACTATTACCTGGAAAACTTTTTGCACAGATGAAATAAAAATGTCCAATACATCAGGGTTTAGAAAATCTTCCTTGGTAGCAGTCCGTCCATTCAAATAGTAGCTAAATTACACAGAAAATATTCAGAAAAAAAATAACAAATTTTACTTTCTGCTTTTAGGTTAATTGCTGACCTTATTCTCCTTCTTACCTCTCCCACTCACCTGTTACTAAAAAAAGGTAGAAGTTCTACTAGGGAAAGACCAAGATGGAAGGGAGTTATGAGGAGGAGTCCATTCTATGCAAGTAACTAGAAATCAGTTACTCTGTCTTGAAAAAACACAGTGGCAAGTACATGTACTCCTGGGTTACTGGTTCTTTGGCAAGCAATTGGTTTTAGCTACTTATATGTTCCATGGGTTAATTGGCACTGTTCTTCTGTATAAAGTGATCTTTATAGAAACCACTACATTATTTAAAATAACTTTAAATTTTTTTTATTAATATTAAAATTGGAGTACAGTGCTACTTGAGACACTATTTGTTTCTTATTTGAACTGCAGTCAATTGGCAGTTAAATGAACTAACTTTTTGAATACTAGGTAATAAATAAAGCTAGCCTTACTTTCCTAGTATTAAGAATAGGAGACATACTTACTGATGCCATGTAACTGAATCAATCACTTCTCCACCAGCCTTCAGGAAGCTAGAAAAAAAATTTTATTATCACTCAGTCATATAATACATATATATGCACAATATACGCATGAGAGTTTTATTCCCTAGAAATGGGCTGGTTACTGCTTTAGGATCAGGTAAACACAAACTTCCTAATTTTGATAGCAAATTTTATCATAGGTGACATTTGCCTCAGATCCCTTGATATTCTGAACCCGTCAAAATTTCCTTTTTTTGGTAAATCATGTATTCAGGCAGCAGATTGTTTAATAACATGTGGACTATTGAGGATTGTCTACCAGAGAGAATCTTTTTTTTTTTTAAGAAAAGTGGTGGCTGGGTGTGGTGGCTCATGCCTGTAATCCTGGCACTCTGGGAGGCTGAGGTGGAAGGATGGCTTGAGCACAGGAATTCAAGAGACCAGCCTGGGCAACACAGGGAGACCCCATCTCTACAAAAAAATTTTTTTAAAGTAGCCAGGTGTGGTGATGTGCACCTGTAGTCCCAGCTATTTGTGGGACTGAGATGGGAGGATTGCTTGAGCCTGGGAGGTCGAAGTTGCAGTGAGCCATGATTGTACCACTGCACTCCAGTCTGGCTGACAGAGTGAGACTCTGTCTCAAAAGGAAAAAGAAGAAAAGTAAAGTGATTCTGCATCCTCTAGTTCCTACCTCTTCAGCATCTTAGCCGTCTTTCTTCGAGGCTGACCAACATCAGGACCATAGAGTTTTGCATTTTTGAAGGTGGACTTTCTTAGAAGTTTATGCAATTGAATAAAATCTTCTCCTAACTGCGACCCATTGATGAAAATATCAGCCTTCTTAAGGAAACTGTTAGGTTCTGAAAGACAGCAATTCTCAAAATATATATCGAGAAATGTTGTATTTAAAAGCAAACATATAGCAGTATTTAAAAGCAACAAAACATTTTCCAAATTACAAAAACTTGTAATTCAAAGTCAAGAAAAGTAAAACCAGGTCTGGCGCTATGGCTCATGCCTGTAATCCCAGCATTTTGGTAGGCTGAGACAGGAGGATCCCCTGAGGCCAGGAGTTTGAGACCACTCTGGGTAACATAGTAAAGCCCTGTTCCATGGGGAAAAAAAAAAATTAGCTAGATGTGGTGGTGCATGCCTGTAGTCTCAGCTTGGGAGGCTGAGGGAGAGGATCACTTGAGCCCAGAAGGTCGAGGCCATAGTGAGCCATGATCACGCAACCGCACTCCAGCCTGAGTGACAGAGCAAGCGTCTGTCTCAAAAAATAAAATAAATAAGTAAAGTAAAACTCAAAGTTATAAATAAGATACTCCAGAAAAACAAAACAAAAATTTTAACTGTATAACTGAGATATGAGGGTCTATTAAACAATTTGAAGTTAATAATGAGGGTAATAAACCAATGGATATGGATATCTGGGAACTAGACTATATTCCATATCTAATAACTTCATTTACTTTGGAAAAAAAGGTTTGAGACCGGGCACAGTGGCTCATGCCTATAATCCCAGCACTTTAGAAGGCCGAGGCAGGAGGATTACTTGAGGCCAGGAGATCGAGACAAGCCTGGGCAACACAACCAGACAAAAGAAAAAAAATTGGCTAGGCATAGTGTAGTCCTAGCTAATCAGGGGGCTGAGGTGTGAGAGATTGCATGAGCCCAGGAGTTGGAGGTTACATTGAGCTATGAACACGCCACTGCACTCCAGCCTGGGTAACAGAGCAAGATCTTGTCTGAAAAAAAAAAAAAAAAAAAAAAGTTTGAGCAGGAAGAAGACTTGTGCTTATCCTATTACTACATTTCATTTCCCATTTAATCCTTATTTCCATTGGCTGATATGTGGAAAAAGCACTCTATGTTTTGAATAAATGTGGCGAATCATGAATACTTATAGTTAAAATTTACAAGTTCTTTGCAAAAAAAGAGTGAAGAAGGAGACAGTCAGGAGCTTGACCCACGTAGGATTCTATACTGGCAAGTTCTAGACCGTTTGGGCAGGTAATGAAGGTTGCAATGGGGTTACTGAGATTAACTGACACATTTGAGAAAATGAGAAAGGAAGGGATGAATAAAACAAACTGCTGACTTCCCAGTTTTGCTGAGTCCAGCTTGCCAAGCATAATAGGGTTAAGTGATTCTGAAAATCTCAAGGGAACTTTGGAGCTGGGAACGTTGCTGGCTCCAACTGGTTCTCACTTCAAATGTAACATAAACTGGGATTAGCAATAATAGGTTCTGGAATAAATACAGTAGGAGTTTCTGCCACATGCACTTCCAAAAGTTGCATTGTTGAGCACTTGCAAGAATGTGCCCAGGCAGAAGTATATTTGCTAATAATAAAAAGAGTGTTGGCCGGGCGCAGTGGCTCACGCCTGTAATCCCACCACTTTGGGACGCCGAGGCGGGCAGATCATGGGGTCAGGAGATAGAGACCATCCTGGCTAACACGGTGAAACCCCGTCTCTACTAAAAATACAAAAAAATTAGCCGGGCGTGGTGGCGGGTGCGTGTAGTCCCAGCTACTCGGGAGGCTGAGGCAGGAGAATGGCGTGAACCTGGGAGGTGGAGCTTGCAGTGAGCCGAGATGGCGCCACTGCACTCCAGCCTGGGCGACAGAGCGAGACTCCGTCTCAAAAAAAAAAAAAAAAAAGTGTCATAAGAAATAATGCTAGCCGGGCCTGGTGGCTCACGCCTGTAATCCCAGCACTTTGGGAGGCCGAGGAGGGCAGATCACGAGGTCAGGAGATCAAGACCATCCTGGCTAACACGGTGAAACCCCGTCTCTACTAAAAATGCAAAAAAAAAAAAAAAAAAAAAAAAAAAAAAATTAGCTGGGCGCGGTGGCGGGTGCCTGTAGTCCCAGCTACTCGGGAGGCTGAGGCAGGAGAATGGCGTGAATTTGGGAGGCAGAGCTTCAAGTGAGCCGAGGTGGCGCCACTGCACTCCAGCCTGGGCAGCAGTGCGAGACTCTGTCTCAAAAAAAAAAAAAAAAAAAAGAAAAAGAAAAGAAAAGAAATAATGCTAGTGGGGGATCTCCTTATTAATGAATTGTTCCCTGGGGTACTCACCATTGCCTAGTTCCCAAGAAATGTTATACCCCTTGGAAGAGCAGTAGTCCAGGAGCAACTGAGCATTAGAACTGTTCCACTGCAAATCTGCTGTTCTTAATAACGCATTTAGGCCAAAGATCAAGTCCAGTCCTGAGCAGTTTGCAAAAGTGTATAGCACATCTACAGAGCTTCCTAAAAGAAAAACGTCACAATTTAATGGTTAGATTGGCACCACAATGAAGGCCTCCAGATTCGCTTTTCATAATGAATAACTATTTCTGTTGTTAAACTGAAGAAATTCTAGTTCTAATAAATGATTATAATTATGTTTTTGAGACAACAAAATTGGACAAATTAAAAAAAATCAATCTGACTTCATTTGCTCCAGCTGTTGAATGAAATCCCATGGAAGATACCAGAAGCTCTGGTCTGACACTTAGGTTTTGTTCAAGTGACATCAGGAGAATTGGGGAAGCCACAATTTATAGCTCAGTGCTCCACATGCATAGCCAGACTGTCATTAGTTAGCATAAACCCCACTCTTCATAATCTAAATATCTCTAGTCACAAGTTCAGTTAAAAAATATTTTGATAATTTTAATTATATTTAAAACAATTTTTAAAAAAATTCCTGTTATGATTTATTAATTTAAAATGAATCAAATTTTACATTAAAAAATTGGCCTAGAGTTATAGGACTATGGTTTCCAAACTCTGTGCAAGGCAAGCTGGGGAGCACCAGTGAATGCATGGGTACAGCTACAGGATTTAGCAACTAAAAGTGCAGGGCACCTAGTTAAACTTGAACTTCATATAGACAATAAATAATGTTTAGTGTATGTCCTATGTAACCATTAAGAAATACTTCGCACAGGGGCCAGGTGCAGTGGCTCATGCCTGTCATCCTAGCACTTTGGGAGGCCGAGGCGGGCGGATCACTTGAGCCCAGGAGTTCAAGACCAGCCTGGGCAACATGGCAAAACCACATCTCTACAAAAAACACAAAAATTAGCCGGGCATGATGGTAAGCACCTGTAGTCCCAGCTAGCTACTTGGGAGGCTGAGGTGGGAGGATCACCTGAGCCCAGGGAGGTCAAGGCTGCAGTGAGCCATGATCATGCCATTGCACAGCAGCCTGGGCAACAGAATGAGATCCTGTCTCAAAAAAAAAAACAAAAAAACAAACAAAAAAAAAAGTAAAGAAAAGAAAAATAATTAACATGAAAAAAATTATTTATCTGAAATTCAACTCTAACCAGGCAGTGCTATTTACAGAGGCACTGTAGGATCTTTTAAGTTTGCAAGGAAAAAAACATCAACATCTATTGGACAGCATTACTATTGGACCTATTACTATTAGGTTGTGTAGACCTTACAATTTAATAATCAAAATACAGGTATTTTTTGTGGCCTAGGCATGCTTTAAAAAGTTTTCTGCGATATTAAGGTGCCATAAGTTTGGGAACTTCTGTACTCTGCTTTTTAAACCATTAGCTGTTCTATTACCACTTTTTGAGAGTGGCAACAATATAATTTTAAGTGTTGTCTTTAAATTGATTATCATATGCATAATAAGTCCTTCCAATTTTCATGTATATCTATAGTCGTTTGTTAAAGAGTAATTCATTCCTGAACTCTTGTAGTTAAAAAAGAAAGATCTCTATCTATCTGGCAAACTTACACCCTTTCTCCTTAAAAGTGGCTTTTTGTTTTGTTTCTAAGTCTTTGGCCTGAATTACTTGAATAACTATAGAATAATATTAAATATTAGCTATTTAAGCTGAGTGCAGTGGCTCATGCCTGTAATCCCAGCACTTTGGGAGGCTGAGGCAGGTGGATCACCTGAGGTCAAGAGTTCGAGACCAGCCTGCCCAATATGGTGAAACCCCGTCTCTACTAAAAATACAAAAATTAGCTGGGTGCAGTGGCATGCACCTGTAGTCCCAGCTACTTGGGAGGCTGAGACAGAATTGCTCAAACCCGGGAGGTGGAGGTTGCAGTGAGCCGAGATTGTGCCACTGCACTGCAGCCTGGGTAACAGAGCAAGACTCTGTCTCAAAAAAAAAAAAAAAAAAAATTAACTATTTAATATTAACTATAAAGACCACTAGGCAGAAACAACTCTTGCAAGCTGCTTTAGGTATTTTGATATTTGCTGTGTCACCCACTTCCATAAACTGCTGCCTACCATCAAGGAATGACAGACATTTGGGTTTGAAAAGCTC